>NC_000010.11:40583218-40722755 GCF_000001405.40 Homo sapiens | reverse complement strand
TCTGTGTAGTTTTTACACGAAGATATTTCCATTTCAAAGATTAGCCTCAAATCGCTTGAAATCTCCACTTGCAAATTCCGCAGAAAGAGTTTTTCAAAACTGCTCTGTGTAAAGGAAGGTTCAACTCTGTGACTTGAATACACACAACACAAAGAAGTGACGGAGAATTCTTCTGTCTAGCATTATATGAGGAAATCCCGTTTCCAACGAAGGGCTCATAGAGGGACAATTATCCAGCTGCAGACTTACAAAGAGTGTATTTCCAAACTGCTCGATTAAAGAAAGGTTAAACTCTGTGAGTTGAACACACACATCACAAAGTGTTTTCTGAGAATGATTTTGTCTAGTTTTAATACGAAGATATATCCTTTTCTATCACTGTCTTCGAAGCGTTTGAAATCGGCACTAGCAAATTCCACAAACAGAGTGTTTCAACTCTGCTCTCTCTCAAGAAAGGTTCAACTCTGTGAGTGGAATACACACAACACAAAGAAGTTACTGAGAATTCTTCTGTCTAGCGTTATATGAAGAAATCCCGTTTCCAACGAAGGCCTCAAAGACGTCCAAATATCCACTTGCAGACTTTACAAATAGAGTGTTTCCAAACTGCTCTATGAAAAGAAAGGTTAAACTCTGTGAGTTGAAGGCACACATCACAAACTAGTTTCTGCGAATGACTCTGTGTACTTTTAATACGAAGATGTTTCCATGTCTAAGATTGGCGTGAATTCGCTTGAAATCTCCACTTGCAAATTCCACAAAAAGAGTGTTTCAAAACTGCTCTGAATAAAGGAAGGTTCCACTCTGAGAGTTGAATACACACAACACAAAGGATTTACTGAGAATTCTTCTGTATAGCAGTAAATGAAAAAATCCCGCTTCCAACGAAGTCCTCAAAGGGGTCCAAGTAATCACTTGCAGACTTTACAGACAGAGTCTTTCCAAACTGCTCTATGAAAAGAAAGGTGGAACTCTGTGAGCTGAACGCACACATAACAAAGCAGTTTCTGAGAATGATTCTGTGTAGTTTTTACACGAAGATATTTCCATTTCAAAGATTAGCCTCAAATCGCTTGAAATCTCCACTTGCAAATTCCGCAGAAAGAGTTTTTCAAAACTGCTCTGTGTAAAGGAAGGTTCAACTCTGTGACTTGAATACACACAACACAAAGAAGTGACTGAGAATTCTTCTGTCTAGCATTATATGAAGAAATCCCGTTTCCAACGAAGGCCTCAAAGAAGTCCAAATAAGCACCTGCAGACTTTACAAACAGAGTGTTTCCAAACTGCTCTATGAAAAGAAAGGTTAAACTCTGTGAGGTGAACGCACACATCACAAAGTAGTTGTTGAGAATGATTCTGTGTAGTTTTTATACGAAGATATTTAATTTTCCGCCATAGGCCTAGAAGCGCTTGAAATCTGCACTTGCAAATTCCAAAAACAGAGTGTTTCAAATCTGCTCTCTCCAAAGGAAGGTTCAAATCTGTGAGTTGAATACAAACAACACAAAGAAGTTACTGAGAATTCTTCTGTCTAGTGTTGTATGAAGAAATCCCATTTCCAACGAAGGCCTCAAAGAGGTCCAAATATCCACTTGCAGACTTTACAAATAGAGTGTTTCCCAACTGCTCTATGAAAAGAAAGGTTAAACTCTGTGAGTTGAAGGCACACATCACAAACTAGTTTCTACGAATGACTCTGTGTACTTTTAATATGAAGATATTTCCATGTCTAAGATTGGCATCAAATCGCTTGAAATCTCCACTTGCAAATTCCACAAAAAGTGTTTTTCAAAACTGCTCTGAATAAAGGAAGGTTCCACTCTGTGAGTTGAATACACACAACACAAAGGATTTACTGAGAATTCTTCTGTCTAGCAGTAAATGAGAAATCCCGCTTCCAACGAAGGCCTCAAAGGGGTCTAACTAATCACTTGCAGACTTTACAGACAGAGTCTTTCCAAACTGCTCTATGAAGAGAAAGGTGAAACTCTGTGAACTGAACGCACAGATAACAAAGCAGTTTCTGAGAATGATTCTGTGTAGTTTTTACACGAAGCTATTTCCATTTCAAAGCATTAGCCTCAAATCGCTTGAAATCTCCACTTGCAAATTCCACAGAAAGAGTTTTTCAAAACTGCTCTGTGTAAAGGAAGGTTCAACTCTGTGACTTGAATACACACAACACAAAGAAGTGACTGAGAATTCTTCTGTCTAGCATTACATGAAGAAATCCCGTTTCCAACGAAGGCCTCAAAGAAGTCCAAATAAGCACCTGCAGACTTTACAAACAGAGTGTTTCCAAACTGCTCTATGAAAAGAAAGGTTAAACTCTGTGAGTTGAACGCACACATCACAAAGTAGTTGTTGAGAATGATTCTGTGTAGTTTTTATACGAAGATATTTCCTTTTCTGCCATAGGCCTAGAAACGCTTGTAATCTGCACTTGCAAATTCCAAAAACAGAGTGTTTCAAATCTGCTCTCTCTAAAGGAAGGTTCAAATCTGTGAGTTGAATACAAACAATACAAAGAAGTTACTGTGAATTCTTCTGTCTAGCCTTATAAGAGGACATCCCGTTTCCAACGAAGGGCTCATAGAGGGACAATTATCCAGCTGCAGACTTACAAAGAGTGTATTTCCAAACTGCTCGATTAAAGAAAGGTTAAGCTCTGTGAGTTGAACACACACATCACAAAGTGTTTTCTGAGAATGATTTTGTCTAGTTTTAATACGAAGATATATCCTTTTCTATCACTGTCTTCGAAGCGTTTGAAATCTGCACTAGCAAATTCCACAAAAAGAGTGTTTCAACTCTGCTCTCTCTCAAGAAAGGTTCAACTCTGTGAGTGGAATACACACAACACAAAGAAGTTACTGAGAATTCTTCTGTCTAGCGTTATATGAAGAAATCCCGTTTCCAACGAAGGCCTCAAAGAGGTCCAAATATCCACTTGCAGACTTTACAAATAGAGTGTTTCCAAACTGCTCTATGAAAAGAAAGGTTAAACTCCGTGAGTTGAAGGCACACATCACAAACTAGTTTCTGCGAATGACTCTGTGTACTTTTAATACGAAGATGTTTCCACGTCTAAGATTGGCGTGAATTCGCTTGAAATCTCCACTTGCAATTTCCACAAAAAGAGTGTTTCAAAACTGCTCTGAATAAAGGAAGGTTCCACTCTGTGAGTTGAATACACACAACACAAAGGATTTACTGAGAATTCTTCTGTCTAGCAGTAAATGAAAAAATCCCGCTTCCAACGAAGTCCTCAAAGGGGTCCAAGTAATCACTTGCAGACTTTACAGACAGAGTCTTTCCAAACTGCTCTATGAAAAGAAAGGTGGAACTCTGTGAGCTGAACGCACACATAACAAAGCAGTTTCTGAGAATGATTCTGTGTAGTTTTTACACGAAGCTATTTCCATTTCAAAGATTAGCCTCAAATCGCTTGAAATCTCCACTTGCAAATTCCACAGAAAGAGTTTTTCAAAACTGCTCTGTGTAAAGGAAGGTTCAACTCTGTGACTTGAATACACACAACACAAAGAAGTGACTGAGAATTCTTCTGTCTAGCATTATATGAAGAAATCCCGTATCCAACGAAGGCCTCAAAGAAGTCCAAATAAGCACCTGCAGACTTTACAAACAGAGTGTTTCCAAACTGCTCTATGAAAAGAAAAGTTAAACTCTGTGAGTTGAACGCACACATCACAAACTAGTTTCTGCGAATGACTCTGTGTACTTTTAATACGAAGATGTTTCCATGTCTAAGATTGGCGTGAATTCGCTTGAAATCTCCACTTGCAAATTCCACAAAAAGAGTGTTTCAAAACTGCTCTGAATAAAGGAAGGTTCCACTCTGTGAGTTGAATACACACAACACAAAGGATTTACTGAGAATTCTTCTGTCTAGCAGTAAATGAAAAAATCCCGCTTCCAACGAAGTCCTCAAAGGGGTCCAAGTAATCACTTGCAGACTTTACAGACAGAGTCTTTCCAAACTGCTCTATGAAAAGAAAGGTGGAACTCTGTGAGCTGAACGCACACATAACAAAGCAGTTTCTGAGAATGATTCTGTGTAGTTTTTACACGAAGATATTTCCATTTCAAAGATTAGCCCCAAATCGCTTGAAATCTCCACTTGCAAATTCCACAGAAAGAGTTTTTCAAAACTGCTCTGTGTAAAGGAAGGTTCAACTCTGTGACTTGAATATACACAACACAAAGAAGTGACTGAGAATTCTTCTGTCTAGCATTATATGAAGAAATCCCGTTTCCAACGAAGGCCTCAAAGAAGTCCAAATAAGCACCTGCAGACTTTACAAACAGAGTGTTTCCAAACTGCTCTATGAAAAGAAAGGTTAAACTCTGTGAGTTGAACGCACACATCACAAAGTAGTTGTTGAGAATGATTCTGTGCAGTTTTTATACGAAGATATTTCCTTTTCTGCCATAGGCCTAGAATCGCTTGATATCTGCACTTGCAAATTCCAAAAACAGAGTGTTTCAACTCTGCTCTCTCTAAAGAAAGGTTCAACTCTGTGAGTTGAATACACACAACACAAAGAAGTTACTGAGAATTCTTCTGTCTGGCGTTGTATGAAGAAATCCCGTTTCCAACGGAGGCCTCAAAGAGGTCCAAATATCCACTTGCAGACTTTACAAATAGAGTGTTTCCAAACTGCTCTATGTAAAGAAAGGTTAAACTCTGTGAGTTGAAGGCACACATCACAAACTAGTTTCTACGAATGACTCTGTGTACTTTTAATATGAAGATATTTCCATGTCTAAGATTGGCGTTCAAATCGCTTGAAATCTCCACTTGCAAATTCCACAAAAAGTGTTTTTCAAAAGTGCTCTGAATAAAGGAAGGTTCCACTCTGTGAGTTGAATGCACGCAACACAAAGGATTTACTGAGAATTCTTCTGTCTAGCAGTAAATGAGAAATCCCGCTTCCAACGAAGGCCTCAAAGGGGTCTAACTAATCACTTGCAGACTTTACAGACAGAGTCTTTCCAAACTGCTCTATGAAGAGAAAGGTGAAACTCTGTGAACTGAACGCACAGATGACAAAGCAGTTTCTGAGAATGATTCTGTGTAGTTTTTACACGAAGATATTTCCATTTCAAAGATTAGCCTCAAATCGCTTGAAATCTCCACTTGCAAATTCCACAGAAAGAATTTTTCAAAACTGCTCTGCTAAAAGAAGGTTCAACTCTGTGACTTGAATACACACAACACAAAGAACTGACTGAGAATTCTTCTGTCTAGCGTTGTATGAAGAAATCCCGTTTCCAACGAAGGCCTCAATGAAGTCCAAAAAAGCACTTGCAGGCTTTACAAACAGAGTGTTTCCAAACTGCTCTATGAAAAGAAAGGTTAAACTCTGTGAGTTGAACACACACATCACAAAGTAGTTGTTGAGAATGATTCTGTGTAGTTTTTATACGAAGATATTTCCTTTTCTGCCATAGGCCTAGAATCGCTTGAAATCTGCAGTTGCAAATTCCAAAAACAGAGTGTTTCAACTCTGCTCTCTCTAAAGAAAGGTTCAACTCTGTGAGTTGAATACACACAACACAAAGAAGTTACTGAGAATTCTTCTGTCTAGCGTTATATGAAGAAATCCCGTTTCCAACGAAGGCCTCAAAGAGGTCCAAATATCCACTTGCAGACTTTACAAATACAGTGTTTCCCAACTGCTCTATGAAAAGAAAGGTTAAACTCTGTGAGTTGAAGGCACACATCACAAACTAGTTTCTACGAATGACTCTGTGTACTTTTAATATGAAGATATTTCCATGTCTAAGATTGGCGTCAAATCGCTTGAAATCTCCACTTGCAAATTCCACAAAAAGAGTGTTTCAAAACTGCTCTGAATAAAGGAAGGTTCCACTCTGTGAGTTGAATACACACAACACAAAGGATTTACTGAGAATTCTTCTGTCTAGCAGTAAATGAGAAATCCCGCTTCCAACGAAGGCCTTAAAGGGGTCTAACTAATCACTTGCAGACTTTACAGACAGAGTCTTTCCAAACTGCTCTATGAAGAGAAAGGTGAAACTCTGTGAACTGAACGCACAGATGACAAAGCAGTTTCTGAGAATGATTCTGTGTAGTTTTTACACGAAGATATTTCCATTTCAAAGATTAGCCTCAAATCGCTTGAAATCTCCACTTGCAAATTACACAGAAAGAATTTTTCAAAACTGCTCTGTCTAAAGGAAGGTTCAACTCTGTGAGTTGAATACACACAACACAAAGAAGTTACTGAGAATTCTTCTGTCTAGCGTTGTATGAAGAAATCCCGTTTCCAACGAAGGCCTCAATGAAGTACAAAAAAGCACTTGCAGGCTTTACAAACAGAGTGTTTCCAAACTGCTCTATGAAAAGAAAGGTTAAACTCTGTGAGTTGAACACACACATCACAAAGAGTTTTCTGAGAATGATTCTGTGTAGTTTTTACACGAAGATATTTCCTTTTCTGCCATAGGCCTAGAATCGCTTGAAATCTGCACTTGCAAATTCCAAAAACAGAGTGTTTCAAATCTGCTCTCTCTAAAGGAAGGTTCAAATCTGTGTGTTGAATACAAACAACACAGAGAAGTTACTGAGAATTCTTCTGTCTAGTGTTGTATGAAGAAATTCCTTTTCCAACGAAGGCCTCAAAGAGGTCCAAATATCCACTTGCAGACTTTACAAATAGAGTGTTTCCAAACTGCTCTATGAAAAGAAAGGTCAAACTCTGTGAGTTGAAGGCACACATCACAAACTAGTTTCTACGAATGACTCTGTGTACTTTTAATATGAAGATATTTCCATGTCTAAGATTGGCGTCAAATCGCTTGAAATCTCCACTTCCAAATTCCACAAAAAGTGTTTTTCAAAACTGCTCTGAATAAAGGAAGGTTCCACTCTGTGAGTTGAATACACACAACACAAAGGATTTACTGAGAATTCTTCTGTCTAGCAGTAAATGAGAAATCCCGCTTCCAACGAAGGCCTCAAAGGGGTCTAACTAATCACTTGCAGACTTTACAGACAGAGTCTTTCCAAACTGCTCTATGAAGAGAAAGGTGAAACTCTGTGAACTGAACGCACAGATGACAAAGCAGTTTCTGAGAATGATTCTGTGTAGTTTTTACACGAAGATATTTCCATTTCAAAGATTAGCCTCAAATCGCTTGAAATCTCCACTTGCAAACTCCACAGAAAGAATTTTTCAAAACTGCTCTGTCTAAAGGAAGGTTCAACTCTGTGACTTGAATACACACAACACAAAGAAGTGACTGAGAATTCTTCTGTCTAGCATTATATGAAGAAATCCCGTTTCCAACGAAGGCCTCAATGAAGTCCAAAAAAGCACTTGCAGGCTTTACAAACAGAGTGTTTCCAAACTGCTCTATGAAAAGAAAGGTTAAACTTTGTGAGTTGAACGCACACATCACAAAGTAGTTGTTGAGAATGATTCTGTGTAGTTTTTATACGAAGATAATTCCTTTTCTGCCATAGGCCTAGAATCGCTTGAAATCTGCCCTTGCAAATTCCAAAAACAGAGTGTTTCAACTCTGCTCTCTCTAAAGAAAGGTTCAACTCTGTGAGTTGAATACACACAACACAAAGAAGTTACTGAGAATTCTTCTGTCTAGCGTTGTATGAAGAAATACCGTTTCCAACGAAGGCCTCAATGAAGTCCAAAAAAGCACTTGCAGGCTTTACAAACAGAGTGTTTCCAAACTGCTCTATGAAGAGAAAGGTGAAACTCTGTGAACTGAACGCACAGATGACAAAGCAGTTTCTGAGAATGATTCTGTGTAGTTTTTACACGAAGATATTTCCATTTCAAAGATTAGCCTCAAATCGCTTGAAATCTCCACTTGCAAATTACACAGAAAGAATTTTTCAAAACTGCTCTGTCTAAAGGAAGGTTCAACTCTGTGACTTGAATACACACAACACAAAGAAGTGACTGAGAATTCTTCTGTCTAGCATTATAAGAGGAAATCCTGTTTCCAACGAAGGGCTCATAGAGGGACAATTATCCAGCTGCAGACTTACAAAGAGTGTATTTCCAAACTGCTCGATTAAAGAAAGGTTAAACTCTGTGAGTTGAACACACACATCACAAAGTGTTTTCTGAGAATGATTTTGTCTAGTTTTAATACGAAGATATATCCTTTTCTATCACTGTCTTCGAAGCGTTTGAAATCTGCACTAGCAAATTCCACAGAAACAGTGTTTCAACTCTGCTCTCTCTCAAGAAAGGTTCAACTCTGTGAGTTGAATACACACAACACAAAGAAGTTACTGAGAATTCTTCTGTCTAGCATTATAAGAGGAAATCCCGTTTCCAAAGAAGGGCTCAAAGAGGGCCAAATATCCACCTGCAGACTTACAAAGAGTGTATTTCCAAACTGCTCGATTAAAGAAAGGTTAAACTCTGTGAGTTGAACACACACATCACAAAGAGTTTTCTGACAATGATTTTGTCTACTTTTAATACGAAGATATATCCTTTTCTATCACTGTCTTCGAAGCGTTTGAAATCTACACTAGCAAATTCCACAAAAAGAGTGTTTCACCTCTGCTCCCTCTAAAGAAAGGTTCAACTCTGTGAGTTGAATACACACAACACAAAGAAGTTACTGAGAATTCTTCTGTCTAGCGTTATATGAAGAAATCCCGTTTCCAACGAAGGCCTCAAAGAGGTCCAAATATCCACTTGCAGACTTTACAAATAGAGTGTTTCCAAACTGCTCTATGAAAAGAAAGGTTAAACTCCGTGAGTTGAAGGCACACATAACAAACTAGTTTCTGCGAATGACTCTGTGTACTTTTAATACGAAGATGTTTCCATGTCTAAGATTGGCGTGAATTCGCTTGAAATCTCCACTTGCAAATTCCACAAAAAGAGTGTTTCAAAACTGCTCTGAATAAAGGAAGGTTCCACTCTGCGAGTTGAATACACACAACACAAAGGATTTACTGAGAATTCTTCTGTCTAGCAGTAAATGAAAAAATCCCGCTTCCAACGAAGTCCTCAAAGGGGTCCAAGTAATCACTTGCAGACTTTACAGACAGAGTCTTTCCAAACTGCTCTATGAAAAGAAAGGTGGAACTCTGTGAGCTGAACGCACACATAACAAAGCAGTTTCTGAGAAAGATTCTGTGTAGTTTTTACACGAAGATATTTCCATTTCAAAGATTAGCCTCAAATCGCTTGAAATCTCCACTTGCAAATTCCACAGAAAGAGTTTTTCAAAACTGCTCTGTGTAAAGGAAGGTTCAACTCTGTGACTTGAATACACACAACACAAAGAAGTGACTGAGAATTCTTCTGTCTAGCATTATATGAAGAAATCCCGTTTCCAACGAAGGCCTCAAAGAAGTCCAAATAAGCACCTGCAGACTTTACAAACAGAGTGTTTCCAAACTGCTCTATGAAAAGAAAGGTTAAACTCCTGTGAGTTGAACGCACACATCACAAAGTAGTTGTTGAGAATGATTCTGTGTAGTTTTTATACGAAGATATTTCCTTTTCTGCCATAGGCCTAGAAGCGCTTGTAATCTGCACTTGCAAATTCCAAAAACAGAGTGTTTCAAATCTGCTCTCCCTAAAGGAAGGTTCAAATCTGTGAGTTGAATACAAACAACACAAAGAAGTTACTGAGAATTCTTCTGTCTAGCGTTATATGAAGAAATCCCGTTTCCAAAGAAGGCCTCAAAGAGGTCCAAATATCCACTTGCAGACTTTACAAATAGAGTGTTTCCCAACTGCTCTATGAAAAGAAAGGTTAAACTCTGTGAGTTGAAGGCACACATCACAAACTAGTTTCTACGAATGACTTCTGTGTACTTTTAATATGAAGATATTTCCATGTCTAAGATTGGCGTCAAATCGCTTGAAATCTCCACTTGCAAATTCCACAAAAAGAGTGTTTCAAAACTGCTCTGAATAAAGGAAGGTTCCACTCTGTGAGTTGAATACACACAACACAAAGGATTTACTGAGAATTCTTCTGTCTAGCAGTAAATGAGAAATCCCGCTTCCAACGAAGGCCTCAAAGGGGTCTAACTAATCACTTGCAGACTTTACAGACAGAGTCTTTCCAAACTGCTCTATGAAGAGAAAGGTGAAACTCTGTGAACTGAACGCACAGATGACAAAGCAGTTTCTGAGAATGATTCTGTGTAGTTTTTACACGAAGATATTTCCATTTCAAAGATTAGCCTCAAATCGCTTGAAATCTCCACTTGCAAATTCCACAGAAAGAATTTTTCAAAACTGCTCTGTCTAAAGGAAGGTTCAACTCTGTGACTTGAATACACACAACACAAAGAAGTGACTGAGAATTCTTCTGTCTAGCATTATATGAAGAAATCCCGTTTCCAACGAAGGCCTCAAAGAAGTCCAAATAAGCACCTGCAGACTTTACAAACAGAGTGTTTCCAAACTGCTCTATGAAAAGAAAGGTTAAACTCTGTGAGTTGAACGCACACATCACAAAGTAGTTGTTGAGAATGATTCTGTGTAGTTTTTATACGAAGATATTTCCTTTTCTGCCATAGGCCTAGAATCGCTTGAAATCTGCACTTGCAAATTCCAAAAACAGAGTGTTTCAACTCTGCTCTCTCTAAAGGAAGGTTCCACTCTGTGAGTTGAATACACACAACACAAAGGATTTACTGAGAATTCTTCTGTCTAGCAGTTAATGAGAAATCCCGCTTCCAACGAAGGCCTCAAAGGGGTCTAACTAATCAATTGCAGACTTTACAGACAGAGTCTTTCCAAACTGCTCTATGAAGAGAAAGGTGAAACTCTGTGAACTGAACGCACAGATGACAAAGCAGTTTCTGAGAATGATTCTGTGTAGTTTTTACACGAAGATATTTCCATTTCAAAGATTAGCCTCAAATCGCTTGAAATCTCCACTTGCAAATTCCACAGAAAGAATTTTTCAAAACTGCTCTGTCTAAAGGAAGGTTCAACTCTGTGACTTGAATACACACAACACAAAGAAGTGACTGAGAATTCTTCTGTCTAGCATTATAAGAGGAAATCCCGTTTCCAACGAAGGGCTCATAGAGGGACAATTATCCAGCTGCAGACTTACAAAGAGTGTATTTCCAAACTGCTCGATTAAAGAAAGGTTAAACTCTGTGAGTTGAACACACACATCACAAAGTGTTTTCTGAGAATGATTTTGTCTAGTTTTAATACGAAGATATATCCTTTTCTATCACTGTCTTCGAAGCGTTTGAAATCTGCACTAGCAAATTCCACAAAAAGAGTGTTTCAACTCTGCTCTCTCTCAAGAAAGGTTCAACTCTGTGAGTGGAATACACACAACACAAAGAAGTTACTGAGAATTCTTCTGTCTAGCGTTATATGAAGAAATCCCGTTTCCAACGAAGGCCTCAAAGAGGTCCAAATATCCACTTGCAGACTTTACAAATAGAGTGTTTCCAAACTGCTCTATGAAAAGAAAGGTTAAACTCCGTGAGTTGAAGGCACACATCACAAACTAGTTTCTGCGAATGACTCTGTGTACTTTTAATACGAAGATGTTTCCATGTCTAAGATTGGCGTGAATTCGCTTGAAATCTCCACTTGCAAATTCCACAAAAAGAGTGTTTCAAAAGTGCTCTGAATAAAGGAAGGTTCCACTCTGTGAGTTGAATACACACAACACAAAGGATTTACTGAGAATTCTTCTGTCTAGCAGTAAATGAAAAAATCCCGCTTCCAACGAAGTCCTCAAAGGGGTCCAAGTAATCACTTGCAGACTTTACAGACAGAGTCTTTCCAAACTGCTCTATGAAAAGAAAGGTGGAACTCTGTGAGCTGAACGCACACATAACAAAGCAGTTTCTGAGAATGATTCTGTGTAGTTTTTACACGAAGCTATTTCCATTTCAAAGATTAGCCTCAAATCGCTTGAAATCTCCACTTGCAAATTCCACAGAAAGAGTTTTTCAAAACTGCTCTGTGTAAAGGAAGGTTCAACTCTGTTACTTGAATACACACAACACAAAGAAGTGACTGAGAATTCTTCTGTCTAGCATTATATGAGGAAATCCCGTTTCCAACGAAGGGCTCATAGAGGGACAATTATCCACCTGCAGACTTACAAAGAGTGCATTTCCAAACTGCTCGATTAAAGAAAGGTTAAACTCTGTGAGTTGAACACACACATCACAAAGTGTTTTCTGAGAATGATTTTGTCTAGTTTTAATACGAAGATATATCCTTTTCTATCACTGTCTTCGAAGCGTTTGAAATCTGCACTAGCAAATTCCACAGAAAGAGTGTTTCAACTCTGCTCTCTCTCAAGAAAGGTTCAACTCTGTGAGTGGAATACACACAACACAAAGAAGTTACAGAGAATTCTTCTGTCTAGCGTTATATGAAGAAATCCCGTTTCCAACGAAGGCCTCAAAGAGGTCCAAATATCCACTTGCAGACTTTACAAATAGAGTGTTTCCAAACTGCTCTATGAAAAGAAAGGTTAAACTCCGTGAGTTGAAGGCACACATCTCAAACTAGTTTCTGCGAATGACTCTGTGTACTTTTAATACGAAGATGTTTCCATGTCTAAGATTGGCGTGAATTCGCTTGAAATCTCCACTTGCAAATTCCACAAAAAGAGTGTTTCAAAACTGCTCTGAATAAAGGAAGGTTCCACTCTGTGAGTTGAATACACACAACACAAAGGATTTACTGAGAATTCTTCTGTCTAGCAGTAAATGAGAAATCCCGCTTCCAACGAAGGCCTCAATGGGGTCTAACTAATCACTTGCAGACTTTACAGACAGAGTCTTTCCAAACTGCTCTATGAAGAGAAAGGTGAAACTCTGTGAACTGAACGCACAGATGACAAAGCAGTTTCTGAGAATGATTCTGTGTAGTTTTTACACGAAGATATTTCCATTTCAAAGATTAGCCTCAAATCGCTTGAACTCTCCACTTGCAAATTCCACAGAAAGAGTTTTTCAAAACTGCTCTGTCTAAAGGAAGGTTCAACTCTGTGACTTGTATACACACAACACAAAGAAGTGACTGAGAATGCTTCTGTCTAGCATTATATGAAGAAATCCCGTTTCCAACGAAGGCCTCAAAGAAGTCCAAATAAGCACCTGCAGACTTTACAAACAGAGTATTTCCAAACTGCTCTATGAAACGAAAGTTTAAACTCTGTGAGTTGAATGCACACATCACAAAGTAGTTGTTGAGAATGATTTTGTCTAGTTTTAATACGAAGATATATCCTTTTCTATCACTGTCTTCGAAGCGTTTGAAATCTGCACTAGCAAATTCCACAAACAGAGTGTTTCAACTCTGCTCTCTCTCAAGAAAGGTTCAACTCTGTGAGTGGAATACACACAACACAAAGAAGTTACTGAGAATTCTTCTGTCTAGCGTTATATGAAGAAATCCCGTTTCCAACGAAGGCCTCAAAGAGGTCCAAATATCCACTTGCAGACTTTACAAATAGAGTGTTTCCAAACTGCTCTATGAAAAGAAAGGTTAAACTCCGTGAGTTGAAGGCACACATCACAAACTAGTTTCTGCGAATGACTCTGTGTACTTTTAATACGAAGATGTTTCCATGTCTAAGATTGGCGTGAATTCGCTTGAAATCTCCACTTGCAAATTCCACAAAAAGAGTGTTTCAAAACTGCTCTGAATAAAGGAAGGTTCCACTCTGTGAGTTGAATACACACAACACAAAGGATTTACTGAGAATTCTTCTGTCTAGCAGTAAATGAAAAAATCCCGCTTCCAACGAAGTCCTCAAAGGGGTCCAAGTAATCACTTGCAGACTTTACAGACAGAGTCTTTCCAAACTGCTCTATGAAAAGAAAGGTGGAACTCTGTGAGCTGAACGCACACATAACAAAGCAGTTTCTGAGAATGATTCTGTGTAGTTTTTACACGAAGATATTTCCATTTCAAAGATTAGCCTCAAATCGCTTGAAATCTCCACTTGCAAATTCCACAGAAAGAGTTTTTCAAAACTGCTCTGTGTAAAGGAAGGTTCAACTCTGTGACTTGAATACACACAACACAAAGAAGTGACTGAGAATTCTTCTGTCTAGCATTATATGAAGAAATCCCGTTTCCAATGAAGGCCTCAAAGAAGTCCAAATAAGCACCTGCAGACTTTACAAACAGAGTGTTTCCAAACTGCTCTATGAAAAGAAAGGTTAAACTCTGTGAGTTGAACGCACACATCACAAACTAGTTTCTGCGAATGACTCTGTGTACTTTTAATACGAAGATGTTTCCATGTCTAAGATGGGCGTGAATTCGCTTGAAATCTCCACTTGCAAATTCCACAAAAAGAGTGTTTCAAAACTGCTCTGAATAAAGGAAGGTTCCACTCTGTGAGTTGAATACACACAACACAAAGGATTTACTGAGAATTCTTCTGTCTAGCAGTAAATGAAAAAATCCCGCTTCCAACGAAGTCCTCAAAGGGGTCCAAGTAATCACTTGCAGACTTTACAGACAGAGTCTTTCCAAACTGCTCTATGAAAAGAAAGGTGGAACTCTGTGAGCTGAACGCACACATAACAAAGCAGTTTCTGAGAAAGATTCTGTGTAGTTTTTACACGAAGATATTTCCATTTCAAAGATTAGCCTCAAATCGCTTGAAATCTCCACTTGCAAATTCCACAGAAAGAGTTTTTCAAAACTGCTCTGTGTAAAGGAAGGTTCAACTCTGTGACTTGAATACACACAACACAAAGAAGTGACTGAGAATTCTTCTGTCTAGCATTATATGAGGAAATCCCGTTTCCAACGAAGGGCTCATAGAGGGACAATTATCCAGCTGCAGACTTACAAAGAGTGTATTTCCAAACTGCTCGATTAAAGGAAGGTTAAACTCTGTGAGTTGAACACACACATCACAAAGTGTTTTCTGAGAATGATTTTGTCTAGTTTTAATACGAAGATATATCCTTTTCTATCACTGTCTTCGAAGCGTTTGAAATCGGCACTAGCAAATTCCACAAACAGAGTGTTTCAACTCTGCTCTCTCTCAAGAAAGGTTCAACTCTGTGAGTGGAATACACACAACACAAAGAAGTTACTGAGAATTCTTCTGTCTAGCGTTATATGAAGAAATCCCGTTTCCAACGAAGGCCGCAAAGACGTCCAAATATCCACTTGCAGACTTTACAAATAGAGTGTTTCCAAACTGCTCTATGAAAAGAAAGGTTAAACTCTGTGAGTTGAAGGCACACATCACAAACTAGTTTCTGCGAATGACTCTGTGTACTTTTAATACGAAGATGTTTCCATGTCTAAGATTGGCGTGAATTCGCTTGAAATCTCCACTTGCAAATTCCACAAAAAGAGTGTTTCAAAACTGCTCTGAATAAAGGAAGGTTCCACTCTGTGAGTTGAATACACACAACACAAAGGATTTACTGAGAATTCTTCTGTCTAGCAGTAAATGAAAAAATCCCGCTTCCAACGAAGTCCTCAAAGGGGTCCAAGTAATCACTTGCAGACTTTACAGACAGAGTCTTTCCAAACTGCTCTATGAAAAGAAAGGTGGAACTCTGTGAGCTGAACGCACACATAACAAAGCAGTTTCTGAGAATGATTCTGTGTAGTTTTTACATGAAGATATTTCCATTTCAAAGATTAGCCTCAAATCGCTTCAAATCTCCACTTGCAAACTCCACAGAAAGAATTTTTCAAAACTGCTCTGTCTAAAGGAAGGTTCAACTCTGTGACTTGAATACACACAACACAAAGAAGTGACTGAGAATTCTTCTGTCTAGCATTATAAGAGGAAATCCTGTTTCCAACGAAGGGCTCATAGAGGGACAATTATCCAGCTGCAGACTTACAAAGAGTGTATTTCCAAACTGCTCGATTAAAGAAAGGTTAAACTCTGTGAGTTGAACACACACATCACAAAGTGTTTTCTGAGAATGATTTTGTCTAGTTTTAATACGAAGATATATCCTTTTCTATCACAGTCTTCGAAGCGTTTGAAATCTGCACTAGCAAATTCCACAAAAAGAGTGTTTCAACTCTGCTCTCTCTAAAGAAAAGTTGAACTCTGTGAGTTGAATACACACAACACAAAGAAGTTACTGAGAATTCTTCTGTCTAGCATTATATGAAGAAATCCCGTTTCCAACGAAGGCCTCAATGAAGTCCAAAAAAGCACTTGCAGGCTTTACAAACAGAGTGTTTCCAAACTGCTCTATGAAAAGAAAGGTTAAACTCTGTGAGTTGAAGGCACACATCGCAAACTAGTTTCTACGAATGACTCTCTGTACTTTTAATATGAAGATATTTCCATGTCTAAGATTGGCGTCAAATCGCTTGAAATCTCCACTTGCAAATTCCACAAAAATTGTTTTTCAAAACTTCTCTGAATAAAGGAAGGTTCCACTCTGTGAGTTGAATACACACAACACAAAGGATTTACTGAGAATTCTTCTGTCTAGCAGTAAATGAGAAATCCCGCTTCCAACGAAGGCCTCAAAGGGGTCTAACTAGTCACTTGCAGACTTTACAGACAGAGTCTTTCCAAACTGCTCTATGAAGAGAAAGGTGAAACTCTGTGAACTGAACGCACAGATGACAAAGCAGTTTCTGAGAATGATTCTGTGTAGTTTTTACACGAAGATATTTCCATTTCAAAGATTAGCCTCAAATTGCTTGAAATCTCCACTTGCAAACTCCACAGAAAGAATTTTTCAAAACTGCTCTGTCTAAAGGAAGGTCCAACTCTGTGACTTGAATACACACAACACAAAGAAGTGACTGAGAATTCTTCTGTCTAGCATTATATGAAGAAATCCCGTTTCCAAAGAAGGCCTCAATGAAGTCCAAAAAAGCACTTGCAGGCTTTACAAACAGAGTGTTTCCAAACTGCTCTATGAAAAGAAAGGTAAAACTCTGTGAGTTGAACGCACACATCACAAAGTAGTTGTTGAGAATGATTCTGTGTAGTTTTTATACGAAGATATTTCCTTTTCTCCCATAGGCCTAGAATCGCTTGAAATCTGCACTTGCAAATTCCAAAAACAGAGTGTTTCAACTCTGCTCTCTCTAAAGAAAGGTTCAACTCTGTGAGTTGAATACAAACAACACAAAGAAGTTACTGAGAATTCTTCTGTCTAGCGTTATATGAAGAAATCCCGTTTCCAACGAAGGCCTCAAAGAGGTCCAAATATCCACTTGCAGACTTTACAAATAGAGTGTTTCCAAACTGCTCTATGAAAAGAAAGGTTAAACTCTGTGAGTTGAAGGCACACATCACAAACCAGTTTCTACGAATGACTCTGTGTACTTTTAATATGAAGATATTTCCATGTCTAAGATTGGCGTCAAATCGCTTGAAATCTCCACTTGCAAATTCCACAAAAAGTGTTTTTCAAAACTGCTCTGAATAAAGGAAGGTTCCACTCTGTGAGTTGAATACACACAACACAAAGGATTTACTGAGAATTCTTCTGTCTAGCAGTAAATGGGAAATCCCGCTTCCAACGAAGGCCTCAAAGGGGTCTAACTAATCACTTGCAGACTTTACAGACAGAGTCTTTCCAAACTGCTCTATGAAGAGAAAGGTGAAACTCTGTGAACTGAACGCACAGATGACAAAGCAGTTTCTGAGAATGATTCTGTGTAGTTTTTACACGAAGATATTTCCATTTCAAAGAATTAGCCTCAAATCGCTGGAAATCTCCACTTGCAAACTCCACAGAAAGAATTTTTCAAAACTGCTCTGTCTAAAGGAAGGTTCAACTCTGTGACTTGAATACACACAACACAAAGAAGTGACTGAGAATTCTTCTGTCTAGCATTATATGAAGAAATCCCGTTTCCAACGAAGGCCTCAATGAAGTCCAAAAAAGCACTTGCAGGCTTTACAAACAGAGTGTTTCCAAACTGCTCTATGAAAAGAAAGGTTAAACTCTGTGAGTTGAACGCACACATCACAAAGTAGTTGTTGAGAATGATTTTGTCTAGTTTTAATACGAAGATATATCCTTTTCTATCACTGTCTTCGAAGCGTTTGAAATCTGCACTAGCAAATTCCACAAAAAGAGTGTTTCAACTCTGCTCTCTCTCAAGAAAGGCTCAACTCTGTGAGTGGAATACACACAACACAAAGAAGTTACTGAGAATTCTTCTGTCTGGCGTTATATGAAGAAATCCCGTTTCCAACGAAGGCCTCAAAGAGGTCCAAATATCCACTTGCAGACTTTACAAATAGAGTGTTTCCAAACTGCTCTATGAAAAGAAAGGTTAAACTCTGTGAGTTGAAGGCACACATCACAAACTAGTTTCTGCGAATGACTCTGTGTACTTTTAATACGAAGATGTTTCCATGTCTAAGATTGGCGTGAATTTGCTTGAAATCTCCACTTGCAAATTCCACAAAAAGAGTGTTTCAAAACTGCTCTGAATAAAGGAAGGTTCCACTCTGTGAGTTGAATACACACAACACAAAGGATTTACTGAGAATTCTTCTGTCTAGCAGTGAATGAAAAAATCCCGCTTCCAACGAAGTCCTCAAAGGGGTCCAAGTAATCACTTGCAGACTTTACAGACAGAGTCTTTCCAAACTGCTCTATGAAAAGAAAGGTGGAACTCTGTGAGCTGAACGCACACATAACAAAGCAGTTTCTGAGAATGATTCTGTGTAGTTTTTACACGAAGATATTTCCATTTCAAAGATTAGCCTCAAATCGCTTGAAATCTCCACTTGCAAATTCCACAGAAAGAGTTTTTCAAAACTGCTCTGTGTAAAGGAAGGTTCAACTCTGTGACTTGAATACACACAACACAAAGAAGTGACTGAGAATTCTTCTGTCTAGCATTATATGAAGAAATCCCGTTTCCAACGAAGGCCTCAAAGAAGTCCAAATAAGCACCTGCAGACTTTACAAACAGAGTGTTTCCAAACTGCTCTATGAAAAGAAAGGTTAAACTCTGTGAGTTGAACGCACACATCACAAAGTAGTTGTTGAGAATGATTCTGTGTAGTTTTTATACGAAGATATTTCCTTTTCTGCCATAGGCCTAGAAGCGCTTGTAATCTGCACTTGCAAATTCCAAAACCAGAGTGTTTCAAATCTGCTCTCTCTAAAGGAAGGTTCAAATCTGTGAGTTGAATACAAACAACACAAAGAAGTTACTGAGGATTCTTCTGTCTAGCATTATATGAGGAAATCCCGTTTCCAACGAAGGGCTCATAGAGGGACAATTATCCAGCTGCAGACTTACAAAGAGTGTATTTCCAAACTGCTCGATTAAAGGAAGGTTAAACTCTGTGAGTTGAACACACACATCACAAAGTGTTTTCTGAGAATGATTTTGTCTAGTTTTAATACGAAGATATATCCTTTTCTATCACTGTCTTCGAAGCGTTTGAAATCTGCACTAGCAAATTCCACAGAAAGAGTGTTTCAACTCTGCTCTCTCTCAGGAAAGGTTCAACTCTGTGAGTGGAATACACACAACACAAAGAAGTTACTGAGAATTCTTCTGTCTAGCGTTATATGAAGAAATCCCGTTTCCAACGAAGGCCTCAAAGAGGTCCAAATATCCACTTGCAGACTTTACAAATAGAGTGTTTCCAAACTGCTCTATGAAAACAAAGGTTAAACTCCGTGAGTTGAAGGCACACATCACAAACTAGTTTCTGCGAATGACTCTGTGTACTTTTAATACGAAGATGTTTCCATGTCTAAGATTGGCGTGAATTCGCTTGAAATCTCCACTTGCAAATTCCACAAAAAGAGTGTTTCAAAACTGCTCTGAATAAAGGAAGGTTCCACTCTGTGAGTTGAATACACACAACACAAAGGATTTACTGAGAATTCTTCTGTCTAGCAGTAAATGAAAAAATCCCGCTTCCAACGAAGTCCTCAAAGGGGTCCAAGTAATCACTTGCAGACTTTACAGACAGAGTCTTTCCAAACTGCTCTATGAAAAGAAAGGTGGAACTCTGTGAGCTGAACGCACACATAACAAAGCAGTTTCTGAGAATGATTCTGTGTAGTTTTTACACGAAGATATTTCCATTTCAAAGATTAGCCTCAAATCGCTTGAAATCTCCACTTGCAAATTCCACAGAAAGAGTTTTTCAAAACTGCTCTGTGTAAAGGAAGGTTCAACTCTGTGACTTGAATACACACAACACAAAGAAGTGACTGAGAATTCTTCTGTCTAGCATTATATGAGGAAATCCCGTTTCCAACGAAGGGCTCATAGAGGGACAATTATCCAGCTGCAGACTTACAAAGAGTGTATTTCCAAACTGCTCGATTAAAGAAAGGTTAAACTCTGTGAGTTGAACACACACATCACAAAGTGTTTTCTGAGAATGATTTTGTCTACTTTTAATACGAAGATATATCCTTTTCTATCACTGTCTTCGAAGCGTTTGAAATCTGCACTAGCAAATTCCACAAACAGAGTGTTTCAACTCTGCTCTCTCTCAAGAAAGGTTCAACTCTGTGAGTGGAATACACACAACACAAAGAAGTTACTGAGAATTCTTCTGTCTAGCGTTATATGAAGAAATCCCGTTTCCAACGAAGGCCTCAAAGAGGTCCAAATATCCACTTGCAGACTTTACAAATAGAGTGTTTCCAAACTGCTCTATGAAAAGAAAGGTTAAACTCTGTGAGTTGAAGGCACACATCACAAACTAGTTTCTGCGAATGACTCTGTGTACTTTTAATACGAAGATGTTTCCATGTCTAAGATTGGCGTGAATTCGCTTGAAATCTCCACTTGCAAATTCCACAAAAAGAGTGTTTCAAAAGTGCTCTGAATAAAGGAAGGTTCCACTCTGTGAGTTGAATACACACAACACAAAGGATTTACTGAGAATTCTTCTGTCTAGCAGTAAATGAAAAAATCCCGCTTCCAACGAAGTCCTCAAAGGGGTCCAAGTAATCACTTGCAGACTTTACAGACAGAGTCTTTCCAAACTGCTCTATGAAAAGAAAGGTGGAACTCTGTGAGCTGAACGCACACATAACAAAGCAGTTTCTGAGAATGATTCTGTGTAGTTTTTACACGAAGCTATTTCCATTTCAAAGATTAGCCTCAAATCGCTTGAAATCTCCACTTGCAAATTCCACAGAAAGAGTTTTTCAAAACTGCTCTGTGTAAAGGAAGGTTCAACTCTGTGACTTGAATACACACAACACAAAGAAGTGACTGAGAATTCTTCTGTCTAGCATTATATGAAGAAATCCCGTATCCAACGAAGGCCTCAAAGAAGTCCAAATAAGCACCTGCAGACTTTACAAACAGAGTGTTTCCAAACTGCTCTATGAAAAGAAAGGTTAAACTCTGTGAGTTGAACGCACACATCACAAACTAGTTTCTGCGAATGACTCTGTGTAGTTTTTATACGAAGATATTTCCTTTTCTGCCATAGGCCTAGAAGCGCTTGAAATCTGCACTTGCAAATTCCACAAACAGAGTGTTTAAAATCTGCTCTCTCTAAAGGAAGGTTTAAATCTGTGAGTTGAATACAAACAACACAAAGAAGTTACTGAGAATTCTTCTGTCTAGCATTATATGAGGAAATCCCGTTTCCAACGAAGGGCTCAAAGAGGGCCAATTATCCACCTGCAGACTTACAAAGAGTGTATTTCCAAACTGCTCAATTAAAGAAAGGTTAAACTCTGTGAGTTGAACACACACATCACAAAGTGTTTTCTGAGAATGATTTTGTCTAGTTTTAATACGAAGATATATCCTTTTCTATCATTGTCTTCGAAGCGTTTGAAATCTGCACTAGCAAATTCCACAAAAAGAGTGTTTCAACTCTGCTCTCTCTAAAGAAAGGTTCAACGCTGTGAGTTGAATACACACAACACAAAGGATTTACTGAGAATTCTTCTGTCTAGCAGTAAGTGAAAAAATCAAGCTTCCAACGAATGCCTCCAAGGAATCCAAGTATTCACTTGCAGACTTTACAGACAGAGTCTTTCCAAACTGCTCAATGAAAAGAAAGGTGAAACTCTGTGAGTTGAACGCACACATAACAAAGCAGTTTCTGAGAATGATTCTGTGTAGTTTGTACACGAAGATATTTCCATTTCAAAGATTGGCCTCAAATCGCATGAAATCACCACTTGCAAATTCCACACAAAGAGTTTTTCAAAACTGCTCGGTCTAAAGGAAGTTTCAACTCTGTGACTTGAATACACACAACACAAAGAAGTGACTGAGAATTCTTCTGTCTAGCATTATAAGAGGAAATCCCGTTTCCAACGAAGGGCTCCTAGAGGGACAATTATCCAGCTGCAGACTTACAAAGAGTGTATTTCCAAACTGCTCGATTAAAGAAAGGTTAAACTCTGTGAGTTGAACACACACATCACAAAGTGTTTTCTGAGAATGATTTTGTCTAGTTTTAATACGAAGATATATCCTTTTCTATCACTGTCTTCGAAGCGTTTGAAATCTGCACTAGCAAATTCCACAGAAAGAGTGTTTCAACTCTGCTCTCTCTCAAGAAAGGTTCAACTCTGTGAGTGGAATACACACAACACAAAGAAGTTACTGAGAATTCTTCTGTCTAGCGTTATATGAAGAAATCCCGTTTCCAACGAAGGCCTCAAAGAGGTCCAAATATCCACTTGCAGACTTTACAAAGAGAGTGTTTCCAAACTGCTCTATGAAAAGAAAGGTTAAACTCCGTGAGTTGAAGGCACACATCACAAACTAGTTTCTGCGAATGACTCTGTGTACTTTCAATACGAAGATGTTTCCATGTCTAAGATTGGCGTGAATTCGCTTGAAATCTCCACTTGCAATTTCCACAAAAAGAGTGTTTCAAAACTGCTCTGAATAAAGGAAGGTTCCACTCTGTGAGTTGAATACACACAACACAAAGGATTTACTGAGAATTCTTCTGTCTAGCAGTAAATGAAAAAATCCCGCTTCCAACGAAGTCCTCAAAGGGGTCCAAGTAATCACTTGCAGACTTTACAGACAGAGTCTTTCCAAACTGCTCTATGAAAAGAAAGGTGGAACTCTGTGAGCTGAACGCACACATAACAAAGCAGTTTCTGAGAATGATTCTGTGTAGTTTTTACACGAAGCTATTTCCATTTCAAAGATTAGCCTCAAATCGCTTGAAATCTCCACTTGCAAATTCCACAGAAAGAGTTTTTCAAAACTGCTCTGTGTAAAGGAAGGTTCAACTCTGTGACTTGAATACACACAACACAAAGAAGTTACTGAGAATTCTTCTGTCTAGCGTTATATGAAGAAATCCCGTTTCCAACGAAGGCCTCAAAGAGGTCCAAATATCCACTTGCAGACTTTACAAATAGAGTGTTTCCAAACTGCTCTATGAAAAGAAAGGTTAAACTCCGTGAGTTGAAGGCACACATCACAAACTAGTTTCTGCAAATGACTCTGTGTACTTTTAATACGAAGATGTTTCCATGTCTAAGATTGGCGTGAATTCGCTTGAAATCTCCACTTGCAAATTCCACAAAAAGAGTGTTTCAAAAGTGCTCTGAACAAAGGAAGGTTCCACTCTGTGAGTTGAATACACACAACACAAAGGATTTACTGAGAATTCTTCTGTCTAGCAGTAAATGAAAAAATCCCGCTTCCAACGAAGTCCTCAAAGGGGTCCAAGTAATCACTTGCAGACTTTACAGACAGAGTCTTTCCAAACTGCTCTATGAAAAGAAAGGTGGAACTCTGTGAGCTGAACGCACACATAACAAAGCAGTTTCTGAGAATGATTCTGTGTAGTTTTTACACGAAGCTATTTCCATTTCAAAGATTAGCCTCAAATCGCTTGAAATCTCCACTTGCAAATTCCACAGAAAGAGTTTTTCAAAACTGCTCTCTGTAAAGGAAAGTTCAACTCTGTGACTTGAATACACACAACACAAAGAAGTGACTGAGAATTCTTCTGTCTAGCATTACATGAATAAATCCCGTTTCCAACGAAGGCCTCAAAGAAGTCCAAATAAGCACCTGCAGACTTTACAAACAGAGTGTTTCCAAACTGCTCTATGAAAAGAAAGGTTAAACTCTGTGAGTTGAACGCACACATCACAAAGTAGTTGTCGAGAATGATTCTGTGTAGTTTTTATACGAAGATATTTCCTTTTCTGCCATAGGCCTAGAAGCGCTTGTAATCTGCACTTGCAAATTCCAAAAACAGAGTGTTTCAAATCTGCTCTCTCTAAAGGAAGGTTCAAATCTGTGAGTTGAATACAAACAACACAAAGAAGTTACTGAGAATTCTTCTGTCTAGCATTATAAGAGGAAATCCTGTTTCCAACGAAGGGCTCATAGAGGGACAATTATCCAGCTGCAGACTTACAAAGAGTGTATTTCCAAACTGCTCGATTAAAGAAAGGTTAAACTCTGTGAGTTGAACACACACATCACAAAGTGTTTTCTGAGAATGATTTTGTCTAGTTTTAATACGAAGATATATCCTTTTCTATCACTGTCTTCGAAGCGTTTGAAATCTGCACTAGCAAATTCCACAGAAACAGTGTTTCAACTCTGCTCTCTCTCAAGAAAGGTTCAACTCTGTGAGTTGAATACACACAACACAAAGAAGTTACTGAGAATTCTTCTGTCTAGCGTTATATGAAGAAATCCCGTTTCCAACGAAGGCCTCAAAGAGGTCCAAATATCCACTTGCAGACTTTACAAATAGAGTGTTTCCAAACTGCTCTATGAAAAGAAAGGTTAAACTCCGTGAGTTGAAGGCACACATCACAAACTAGTTTCTGCGAATGACTCTGTGTACTTTTAATACGAAGATGTTTCCATGTCTAAGATTGGCGTGAATTCGCTTGAAATCTCCACTTGCAAATTCCACAAAAAGAGTGTTTCAAAACTGCTCTGAATAAAGGAAGGTTCCACTCTGTGAGTTGAATACACACAACACAAAGGATTTACTGAGAATTCTTCTGTCTAGCAGTAAATGAAAAAATCCCGCTTCCAACGAAGTCCTCAAAGGGGTCCAAGTAATCACTTGCAGACTTTACAGACAGAGTCTTTCCAAACTGCTCTATGAAAAGAAAGGTGGAACTCTGTGAGCTGAACGCACAGATGACAAAGCAGTTTCTGAGAATGATTCTGTGTAGTTTTTACACGAAGCTATTTCCATTTCAAAGATTAGCCTCAAATCGCTTGAAATCTCCACTTGCAAATTCCACAGAAAGAGTTTTTCAAAACTGCTCTGTGTAAAGGAAGGTTCAACTCTGTGACTTGAATACACACAACACAAAGAAGTGACTGAGAATTCTTCTGTCTAGCATTATATGAAGAAATCCCGTTTCCAACGAAGGCCTCAAAGAAGTCCAAATAAGCACCTGCAGACTTTACAAACAGAGTGTTTCCAAACTGCTCTATGAAAAGAAAGGTTAAACTCTGTGAGTTGAACGCACACATCACAAAGTAGTTGTCGAGAATGATTCTGTGTAGTTTTTATACGAAGATATTTCCTTTTCTGCCATAGGCCTAGAAGCGCTTGTAATCTGCACTTGCAAATTCCAAAAACAGAGTGTTTCAAATCTGCTCTCTCTAAAGGAAGGTTCAAATCTGTGAGTTGAATACAAACAACACAAAGAAGTTACTGAGAATTCTTCTGTCTAGCATTATAAGAGGAAATCCCGTTTCCAACGAAGGGCTCATAGAGGGACAATTATCCAGCTGCAGACTTACAAAGAGTGTATTTCGAAACTGCTCGATTAAAGAAAGGTTAACCTCTGTGAGTTGAACACACACATCACAAAGTGTTTTCTGAGAATGATTTTGTCTAGTTTTAATACGAAGATATATCCTTTTCTATCACTGTCTTCGAAGCGTTTGAAATCTGCACTAGCAAATTCCACAGAAAGAGTGTTTCAACTCTGCTCTCTCTCAAGAAAGGTTCAACTCTGTGAGTTGAATACACACAACACAAAGAAGTTACTGAGAATTCTTCTGTCTAGCGTTATATGAAGAAATCCCGTTTCCAACGAAGGCCTCAAAGAGGTCCAAATATCCACTTACAGACTTTACAGATAGAGTGTTTCCAAACTGCTCTATGAAAAGAAAGGTTAAACTCCGTGAGTTGAAGGCACACATCACAAACTAGTTTCTGCGAATGACTCTGTGTACTTTTAATACGAAGATGTTTCCATGTCTAAGATTGGCGTGAATTCGCTTGAAATCTCCACTTGCAAATTCCACAAAAAGAGTGTTTCAAAACTGCTCTGAATAAAGGAAGGTTCCACTCTGTGAGTTGAATACACACAACACAAAGGATTTACTGAGAATTCTTCTGTCTAGCAGTAAATGAAAAAATCCCGCTTCCAACGAAGTCCTCAAAGGGGTCCAAGTAATCACTTGCAGACTTTACAGACAGAGTCTTTCCAAACTGCTCTATGAAAAGAAAGGTGGAACTCTGTGAGCTGAACGCACACATAACAAAGCAGTTTCTGAGAATGATTCTGTGTAGTTTTTACACGAAGATATTTCCATTTCAAAGATTAGCCTCAAATCGCTTGAAATCTCCACTTGCAAATTCCACAGAAAGAGTTTTTCAAAACTGCTCTGTGTAAAGGAAGGTTCAACTCTGTGACTTGAATACACACAACACAAAGAAGTGACTGAGAATTCTTCTGTCTAGCATTATATGAAGAAATCCCGTTTCCAACGAAGGCCTCAAAGAAGTCCAAATAAGCACCTGCAGACTTTACAAACAGAGTGTTTCCAAACTGCTCTATGAAAAGAAAGGTTAAACTCTGTGAGTTGAACGCACACATCACAAAGTAGTTGTTGAGAATGATTCTGTGTAGTTTTTATACGAAGATATTTCCTTTTCTGCCATAGGCCTAGAAGCGCTTGCAATCTGCACTTGCAAATTCCAAAAACAGAGTGTTTCAAATCTGCTCTCTCCAAAGGAAGGTTCAAATCTGTGAGTTGAATACAAACAACACAAAGAAGTTACTGAGAATTCTTCTGTCTAGCATTATAAGAGGAAATCCCGTTTCCAACGAAGGGCTCATAGAGGGACAATTATCCAGCTGCAGACTTACAAAGAGTGTATTTCCAAACTGCTCGATTAAAGAAAGGTTAAACTCTGTGAGTTGAACACACACATCACAAAGTGTTTTCTGAGAATGATTTTGTCTAGTTTTAATACGAAGATATATCCTTTTCTATCACTGTCTTCGAAGCGTTTGAAATCTGCACTAGCAAATTCCACAAACAGAGTGTTTCAACTCTGCTCTCTCTCAAGAAAGGTTCAACTCTGTGAGTGGAATACACACAACACAAAGAAGTTACTGAGAATTCTTCTGTCTAGCGTTATATGAAGAAATCCCGTTTCCAACGAAGGCCTCAAAGAGGTCCAAATATCCACTTGCAGACTTTACAAATAGAGTGTTTCCAAACTGCTCTATGAAAAGAAAGGTTAAACTCTGTGAGTTGAAGGCACACATCACAAACTAGTTTCTGCGAATGACTCTGTGTACTTTTAATACGAAGATGTTTCCATGTCTAAGATTGGCGTGAATTCGCTTGAAATCTCCACTTGCAAATTCCACAAAAAGAGTGTTTCAAAACTGCTCTGAATAAAGGAAGGTTCCACTCTGTGAGTTGAATACACACAACACAAAGGATTTACTGAGAATTCTTCTGTCTAGCAGTAAATGAAAAAATCCCGCTTCCAACGAAGTCCTCAAAGGGGTCCAAGTAATCACTTGCAGACTTTACAGACAGAGTCTTTCCAAACTGCTCTATGAAAAGAAAGGTGGAACTCTGTGAGCTGAACGCACACATAACAAAGCAGTTTCTGAGAATGATTCTGTGTAGTTTTTACACGAAGCTATTTCCATTTCAAAGATTAGCCTCAAATCGCTTGAAATCTCCACTTGCAAATTCCACAGAAAGAGTTTTTCAAAACTGCTCTGTGTAAAGGAAGGTTCAACTCTGTGACTTGAATACACACAACACAAGGAAGTGACTGAGAATTCTTCTGTCTAGCATTATATGAAGAAATCCCGTTTCCAACGAAGGCCTCAAAGAAGTCCAAATAAGCACCTGCAGACTTTACAAACAGAGTGTTTCCAAACTGCTCTATGAAAAGAAAGGTTAAACTCTGTGAGTTGAACGCACACATCACAAAGTAGTTGTCGAGAATGATTCTGTGTAGTTTTTATACGAAGATATTTCCTTTTCTGCCATAGGCCTAGAAGCGCTTGTAATCTGCACTTGCAAATTCCAAAAACAGAGTGTTTCAAATCTGCTCTCTCTAAAGGAAGGTTCAAATCTGTGAGTTGAATACAAACAACACAAAGAAGTTACTGAGAATTCTTCTGTCTAGCGTTATATGAAGAAATCCCGTTTCCAACGAAGGCCTCAAAGAGGTCCAAATATCCACTTGCAGACTTTACAAATAGAGTGTTTCCAAACTGCTCTATGAAAAGAAAGGTTAAACTCCGTGAGTTGAAGGCACACATCACAAACTAGTTTCTGCAAATGACTCTGTGTACTTTTAATACGAAGATGTTTCCATGTCTAAGATTGGCATGAATTCGCTTGAAATCTCCACTTGCAAATTCCACAAAAAGAGTGTTTCAAAACTGCTCTGAATAAAGGAAGGTTGAATACACACAACACAAAGGATTTACTGAGAATTCTTCTGTCTAGCAGTAAATGAAAAAATCCCGCTTCCAACGAAGTCCTCAAAGGGGTCCAAGTAATCACTTGCAGACTTTACAGACAGAGTCTTTCCAAACTGCTCTATGAAAAGAAAGGTGGAACTCTGTGAGCTGAACGCACACATAACAAAGCAGTTTCTGAGAATGATTCTGTGTAGTTTTTACACGAAGATATTTCCATTTCAAAGATTAGCCTCAAATCGCTTGAAATCTCCACTTGCAAATTCCACAGAAAGAGTTTTTCAAAACTGCTCTGTGTAAAGGAAGGTTCAACTCTGTGACTTGAATACACACAACACAAAGAAGTGACTGAGAATTCTTCTGTCTAGCATTATATGAAGAAATCCCGTTTCCAACGAAGGCCTCAAAGAAGTCCAAATAAGCACCTGCAGACTTTACAAACAGAGTGTTTCCAAACTGCTCTATGAAAAGAAAGGTTAAACTCTGTGAGTTGAACGCACACATCACAAACTAGTTTCTGCGAATGACTCTGTGTACTTTTAATACGAAGATGTTTCCATGTCTAAGATTGGCGTGAATTCGCTTGAAATCTCCACTTGCAAATTCCACAAAAAGAGTGTTTCAAAACTGCTCTGAATAAAGGAAGGTTCCACTCTGTGAGTTGAATACACACAACACAAAGGATTTACTGAGAATTCTTCTGTCTAGCAGTAAATGAAAAAATCCCGCTTCCAACGAAGTCCTCAAAGGGGTCCAAGTAATCACTTGCAGACTTTACAGACAGAGTCTTTCCAAACTGCTCTATGAAAACAAAGGTGGAACTCTGTGAGCTGAACGCACACATAACAAAGCAGTTTCTGACAATGATTCTGTGTAGTTTTTACACGAAGATATTTCCATTTCAAAGATTAGCCTCAAATCGCTTGAAATCTCCACTTGCAAATTCCACAGAAAGAGTTTTTCAAAACTGCTCTGTGTAAAGGAAGGTTCAACTCTGTGACTTGAATACACACAACACAAAGAAGTGACTGAGAATTCTTCTGTCTAGCATTATATGAAGAAATCCCGTTTCCAACGAAGGCCTCAAAGAAGTCCAAATAAGCACCTGCAGACTTTACAAACAGGGTGTTTCCAAACTGCTCTATGAAAAGAAAGGTTAAACTCTGTGAGTTGAACGCACACATGACAAAGTAGTTGTTGAGAATGATTCTGTGTAGTTTTTATACGAAGATATTTCCTTTTCTGCCATAGGCCTAGAAGCGCTTGCAATCTGCACTTGCAAATTCCAAAAACAGAGTGTTTCAAATCTGCTCTCTCCAAAGGAAGGTTCAAATCTGTGAGTTGAATACAAACAACACAAAGAAGTTACTGAGAGTTCTTCTGTCTAGCGTTATATGAAGAAATCCCGTTTCCAACGAAGGCCTCAAAGAGGTCCAAATATCCACTTGCAGACTTTACAAATAGAGTGTTTCCAAACTGCTCTATGAAAAGAAAGGTTAAACTCCGTGAGTTGAAGGCACACATCACAAACTAGTTTCTGCAAATGACTCTGTGTACTTTTAATACGAAGATGTTTCCATGTCTAAGATTGGCGTGAATTCGCTTGAAATCTCCACCTGCAAATTCCACAAAAAGAGTGTTTCAAAAGTGTTCTGAATAAAGGAAGGTTCCACTCTGTGAGTTGAATACACACAACACAAAGGATTTACTGAGAATTCTTCTGTCTAGCAGTAAATGAGAAATCCCGCTTCCAACGAAGGCCTCAAAGGGGTCTAACTAATCACTTGCAGACTTTACAGACAGAGTCTTTCCAAACTGCTCTATGAAGAGAAAGGTGAAACTCTGTGAACTGAACGCACAGATGACAAAGCAGTTTCTGAAAATGATTCTGTGTAGTTTTTACACGAAGCTATTTCCATTTCAAAGCATTAGCCTCAAATCGCTTGAAATCTCCACTTGCAAATTCCACAGAAAGAGTTTTTCAAAACTGCTCTGTGTAAAGGAAGGTTCAACTCTGTGACTTGAATACACACAACACAAAGAAGTGACTGAGAATTCTTCTGTCTAGCATTACATGAAGAAATCCCGTTTCCAACGAAGGCCTCAAAGAAGTCCAAATAAGCACCTGCAGACTTTACAAACAGAGTGTTTCCAAACTGCTCTATGAAAAGAAAGGTTAAACTCTGTGAGTTGAACGCACACATCACAAAGTAGTTGTTGAGAATGATTTTGTCTAGTTTTAATACGAAGATATATCCTTTTCTATCACTGTCTTCGAAGCGTTTGAAATCTACACTAGCAAATTCCACAAGAAGAGTGTTTCAACTCTGCTATCTCTAAAGAAAGGTTCTACTCGGTGAGTTGAATACACACAACACAAAGAAGTTACTGAGAATTCTTCTGTCTAGCGTTATATGAAGAAATCCCGTTTCCAACGAAGGTCTCAAAGAGGTCCAAATATCCACTTGCAGACTTTACAAATAGAGTGTTTCCCAACTGCTCTATGAAAAGAAAGGTTAAACTGTGAGTTGAAGGCACACATCACAAACTAGTTTCTACGAATGACTCTGTGTACTTTTAATATGAAGATATTTCCATGTCTAAGATTGGCGTCAAATCGCTTGAAATCTCCACTTGCAAATTCCACTAAAAGTGTTTTTCAAAACTGCTCTGAATAAAGGAAGGTTCCACTCTGTGAGTTGAATACACACAACACAAAGGATTTACTGAGAATTCTTCTGTCTAGCAGTAAATGAGAAGTCCCGCTTCCAACGAAGGCCTCAAAGGGGTCTAACTAATCACTTGCAGACTTTAAAGACAGAGTCTTTCCAAACTGCTCTATGAAGAGAAAGGTGAAACTCTGTGAACTGAACGCACAGATGACAAAGCAGTTTCTGAGAATGCTTCTGTGTAGATTTTACACGAAGATATTTCCATTTCAAAGATTAGCCTCAAATCGCTTGAAATCTCCACTTGCAAATTCCACAGAAAGAGGTTTTCAAAACTGCTCTGTGTAAAGGAAGGTTCAACTCTGTGACTTGAATACACACAACACAAAGAAGTGACTGAGAATTCTTCTGTCTAGCATTATATGAAGAAATCCCGTTTCCAACGAAGGCCTCAAAGAAGTCCAAATAAGCACCTGCAGACTTTACAAACAGAGTGTTTCCAAACTGCTCTATGAAAAGAAAGGTTAAACTCTGTGAGCTGAACGCACACATCACAAAGTAGTTGTTGAGAATGATTCTGTGTAGTTTTTATACGAAGATATTTCCTTTTCTGCCATAGGCCTAGAAGCGCTTGCAATCTGCACTTGCAAATTCCAAAAACAGAGTGTTTCAAATCTGCTCTCTCCAAAGGAAGGTTCAAATCTGTGAGTTGAATACAAACAACACAAAGAAGTTACTGAGAATTCTTCTGTCTAGCATTATATGAGGAAATCCCGTTTCCAACGAAGGGCTCATAGAGGGACAATTATCCAGCTGCAGACTTACAAAGAGTGTATTTCCAAACTGCTCGATTAAAGAAAGGTTAAACTCTGTGAGTTGAACACACACATCACAAAGTGTTTTCTGAGAACGATTTTGTCTAGTTTTAATACGAAGATATATCCTTTTCTATCACTGTCTTCGAAGCGTTTGAAATCTGCACTAGCAAATTCCACAAACAGAGTGTTTCAACTCTGCTCTCTCTCAAGAAAGGTTCAACTCTGTGAGTGGAATACACACAACACAAAGAAGTTACTGAGAATTCTTCTGTCTAGCGTTATATGAAGAAATCCCGTTTCCAACGAAGGCCTCAAAGAGGTCCAAATATCCACTTGCAGACTTTACAAATAGAGTGTTTCCAAACTGCTCTATGAAAAGAAAGGTTAAACTCTGTGAGTTGAAGGCACACATCACAAACTAGTTTCTGCGAATGACTCTGTGTACTTTTAATACGAAGATGTTTCCATGTCTAAGATTGGCGTGAATTCGCTTGAAATCTCCACTTGCAAATTCCACAAAAAGAGTGTTTCAAAACTGCTCTGAATAAAGGAAGGTTCCACTCTGTGAGTTGAATACACACAACACAAAGGATTTACTGAGAATTCTTCTGTCTAGCAGTAAATGAAAAAATCCCGCTTCCAACGAAGTCCTCAAAGGGGTCCAAGTAATCACTTGAAGACTTTACAGACAGAGTCTTTCCAAACTGCTCTATGAAAAGAAAGGTGGAACTCTGTGAGCTGAACGCACACATAACAAAGCAGTTTCTGAGAATGATTCTGTGTAGTTTTTACACGAAGATATTTCCATTTCAAAGATTAGCCTCAAATCGCTTGAAATCTCCACTTGCAAATTCCACAGAAAGAGGTTTTCAAAACTGCTCTGTGTAAAGGAAGGTTCAGCTCTGTGACTTGAATACACACAACACAAAGAAGTGACTGAGAATTCTTCTGTCTAGCATTATATGAAGAAATCCCGTTTCCAACGAAGGCCTCAAAGAAGTCCAAATAAGCACCTGCAGACTTTACAAACAGAGTGTTTCCAAACTGCTCTATGAAAAGAAAGGTTAAACTCTGTGAGTTGAACGCACACATCACAAAGTAGTTGTTGAGAATGATTATGTCTAGTTTTAATACGAAGATATATCCTTTTCTATCACTGTCTTCGAAGCGTTTGAAATCTGCACTAGCAAATTCCACAAAAAGAGTGTTTCAACTCTGCTCTCTCTAAAGAAGGGTTCAACTCTGTGAGTTGAATACACACAACACAAAGAAGTTACTGAGAATTCTTCTGTCTAGCGTTGTATGAGGAAATCCCGTTTCCAATGAAGGCCTCAAAGAGGTCCAAATATCCACTTGCAGACTTTACAAATAGAGTGTTTCCAAACTGCTCTATGAAAAGAAAGGTTAAACTCTGTGAGTTGAAGGCACACATCACAAACTAGTTTCTACGAATGACTCTGTGTACTTTTAATATGAAGATATTTCCATGTCTAAGATTGGCGTAAAATCGCTTGAAATCTCCACTTGCAAATTCCACAAAAAGTGTTTTTCAAAACTGCTCTGAATAAAGGAAGGTTCCACTCTGTGAGTTGAATACACATAACACAAAGGATTTACTGAGAATTCTTCTGTCTAGCAGTAAATGAGAAATCCCGCTTCCAACGAAGGCCTCAAAGGGGTCTAACTAATCACTTGCAGACTTTACAGACAGAGTCTTTCCAAACTGCTCTATGAAGAGAAAGGTGAAACTCTGTGAACTGAACGCACAGATGACAAAGCAGTTTCTGAGAATGATTCTGTGTAGTTTTTACACGAAGATATTTCCATTTCAAAGATTAGCCTCAAATCGCTTGAAATCTCCACTTGCAAACTCCACAGAAAGAATTTTTCAAAACTGCTCTGTCTAAAGGAAGGTTCAACTCTGTGACTTGAATACACACAACACAAAGAAGTGACTGAGAATTCTTCTGTCTAGCATTATATGAAGAAATCCCGTTTCCAACGAAGGCCTCAATGAAGTCCAAAAAAGCACTTGCAGGCTTTACAAACAGAGTGTTTCCAAACTGCTCTATGAAAAGAAAGGTTAAACTCTGTGAGTTGAACGCACACATCACAAAGTAGTTGTTGAGAATGATTCTGTGTAGTTTTTATACGAAGATATTTCCTTTTCTGCCCTAGGCCTAGAAGCGCTTGAAATCTGAACTTGCAAATTCCAAAAACAGAGTGTTTCAACTCTGCTCTCTCTAAAGAAAGGTTCAACTCTGTGAGTTGAATACACACAACACAAAGAAGTTACTGAGAATTCTTCTGTCTAGCGTTGTGTGAAGAAATCCTGTTTCCAACGAAGGCCTCAATGAAGTCCAAAAAAGCACTTGCAGGCTTTACAAACAGAGTGTTTCCAAACTGCTCTATGAAAAGAAAGGTTAAACTCTGTGAGTTGAACACACACATCACAAAGAGTTTTCTGAGAATGATTTTGTCTACTTTTAATACGAAGATATATCCTTTTCTATCACTGTCTTCGAAGCGTTTGAAATCTACACTAGCAAATTCCACAAAAAGAGTGTTTCACCTCTGCTCCCTCTAAAGAAAGGTTCAACTCTGTGAGTTGAATACACACAACACAAAGAAGTTACTGAGAATTCTTCTGTCTAGCGTTATATGAAGAAATCCCGTTTCCAACGAAGGCCTCAAAGAGGTCCAAATATCCACTTGCAGACTTTACAAATAGAGTGTTTCCAAACTGCTCTATGAAAAGAAAGGTTAAACTCCGTGAGTTGAAGGCACACATCACAAACTAGTTTCTGCGAATGACTCTGTGTACTTTTAATACGAAGATGTTTCCATGTCTAAGATTGGCGTGAATTCGCTTGAAATCTCCACTTGCAAATTCCACAAAGGAGTGTTTCAAAACTGCTCTGAATAAAGGAAGGTTCCACTCTGTGAGTTGAATACACACAACACAAAGGATTTACTGAGAATTCTTCTGTCTAGCAGTAAATGAAAAAATCCCGCTTCCAACGAAGTCCTCAAAGGGGTCCAAGTAATCACTTGCAGACTTTACAGACAGAGTCTTTCCAAACTGCTCTATGAAAAGAAAGGTGGAACTCTGTGAGCTGAACGCACACATAACAAAGCAGTTTCTGACAATGATTCTGTGTAGTTTTTACACGAAGATATTTCCATTTCAAAGATTAGCCTCAAATCGCTTGAAATCTCCACTTGCAAATTCCACAGAAAGAGTTTTTCAAAACTGCTCTGTGTAAAGGAAGGTTCAACTCTGTGACTTGAATACACACAACACAAAGAAGTGACTGAGAATTCTTCTGTCTAGCATTATATGAAGAAATCCCGTTTCCAACGAAGGCCTCAAAGAAGTCCAAATAAGCACCTGCAGACTTTACAAACAGAGTGTTTCCAAACTGCTCTATGAAAAGAAAGGTTAAACTCTGTGAGTTGAACGCACACATCACAAACTAGTTTCTGCGAATGACTCTGTGTACTTTTAATACGAAGATGTTTCCATGTCTAAGATGGGCGTGAATTCGCTTGAAATCTCCACTTGCAAATTCCACAAAAAGAGTGTTTCAAAACTGCTCTGAATAAAGGAAGGTTCCACTCTGTGAGTTGAATACACACAACACAAAGGATTTACTGAGAATTCTTCTGTCTAGCAGTAAATGAAAAAATCCCGCTTCCAACGAAGTCCTCAAAGGGGTCCAAGTAATCACTTGCAGACTTTACAGACAGAGTCTTTCCAAACTGCTCTATGAAAAGAAAGGTGGAACTCTGTGAGCTGAACGCACACATAACAAAGCAGTTTCTGAGAAAGATTCTGTGTAGTTTTTACACGAAGCTATTTCCATTTCAAAGATTAGCCTCAAATAGCTTGAAATCTCCACTTGCAAATTCCACAGAAAGAGTTTTTCAAAACTGCTCTGTGTAAAGGAAGGTTCAACTCTGTGACTTGAATACACACAACACAAAGAAGTGACTGAGAATTCTTCTGTCTAGCATTATAAGAGGAAATCCCGTTTCCAACGAAGGGCTCATAGAGGGACAATTATCCAGCTGCAGACTTACAAAGAGTGTATTTCCAAACTGCTCGATTAAAGAAAGGTTAAACTCTGTGAGTTGAACACACACATCACAAAGTGTTTTCTGAGAATGATTTTGTCTAGTTTTAATACGAAGATATATCCTTTTCTATCACTGTCTTCGAAGCGTTTGAAATCTGCACTAGGAAATTCCACAGAAAGAGTGTTTCAACTCTGCTCTCTCTCAAGAAAGGTTCAACTGCTGTGAGTTGAATACACACAACACAAAGAAGTTACTGAGAATTCTTCTGTCTAGCGTTATATGAAGAAATCCCGTTTCCAACGAAGGCCTCAAAGAGGTCCAAATATCCACTTGCAGACTTTACAAATACAGTGTTTCCCAACTGCTCTATGAAAAGAAAGGTTAAACTCTGTGAGTTGAAGGCACACATCACAAACTAGTTTCTACGAATGACTCTGTGTACTTTTAATATGAAGATATTTCCATGTCTAAGATTGGCGTCAAATCGCTTGAAATCTCCACTTGCAAATTCCACAAAAAGAGTGTTTCAAAACTGCTCTGAATAAAGGAAGGTTCCACTCTGTGAGTTGAATACACACAACACAAAGGATTTACTGAGAATTCTTCTGTCTAGCAGTAAATGAGAAATCCCGCTTCCAACGAAGGCCTCAAAGGGTTCTAACTAATCACTTGCAGACTTTACAGACAGAGTCTTTCCAAACTGCTCTATGAAGAGAAAGGTGAAACTCTGTGAACTGAACGCACAGATGACAAAGCAGTTTCTGAGAATGATTCTGTGTAGTTTTTACACGAAGATATTTCCATTTCAAAGATTAGCCTCAAATCGCTTGAAATCTCCACTTGCAAACTCCACAGAAAGAATTTTTCAAAACTGCTCTGTCTAAAGGAAGGTTCAACTCTGTGACTTGAATACACACAACACAAAGAAGTGACTGAGAATTCTTCTGTCTAGCATTATAAGAGGAAATCCCGTTTCCAACGAAGGGCTCATAGAGGGACAATTATCCAGCTGCAGACTTACAAAGAGTGTATTTCCAAACTGCTCGATTAAAGAAAGGTTAAACTCTGTGAGTTGAACACACACATCACAAAGTGTTTTCTGAGAATGATTTTGTCTAGTTTTAATACGAAGTATATATCCTTTTCTATCACTGTCTTCGAAGCGTTTGAAATCTGCACTAGCAAATTCCACAAACAGAGTGTTTCAACTCTGCTCTCTCTCAAGAAAGGTTCAACTCTGTGAGTGGAATACACACAACACAAAGAAGTTACTGAGAATTCTTCTGTCTAGCGTTACATGAAGAAATCCCGTTTCCAACGAAGGCCTCAAAGAGGTCCAAATATCCACTTGCAGACTTTACAAATAGAGTGTTTCCAAAATGCTCTATGAAAAGAAAGGTTAAACTCTGTGAGTTGAAGGCACACATCACAAACTAGTTTCTGCGAATGACTCTGTGTACTTTTAATACGAAGATGTTTCCATGTCTAAGATTGGCGTGAATTCGCTTGAAATCTCCACTTGCAAATTCCACAAAAAGAGTGTTTCAAAACTGCTCTGAATAAAGGAAGGTTCCACTCTGTGAGTTGAATACACACAACACAAAGGATTTACTGAGAATTCTTCTGTCTAGCAGTAAATGAAAAAATCCCGCTTCCAACGAAGTCCTCAAAGGGGTCCAAGTAATCACTTGCAGACTTTACAGACAGAGTCTTTCCAAACTGCTCTATGAAAAGAAAGGTGGAACTCTGTGAGCTGAACGCACACATAACAAAGCAGTTTCTGACAATGATTCTGTGTAGTTTTTACACGAAGCTATTTCCATTTCAAAGATTAGCCTCAAATCACTTGAAATCTCCACTTGCAAATTCCACAGAAAGAGTTTTTCAAAACTGCTCTGTGTAAAGGAAGGTTCAACTCTGTGACTTGAATACACACAACACAAAGAAGTGACTGAGAATTCTTCTGTCTAGCATTATATGAGGAAATCCCGTTTCCAACGAAGGGCTCATAGAGGGACAATTATCCAGCTGCAGACTTACAAAGAGTGTATTTCCAAACTGCTCGATTAAAGAAAGGTTAAACTCTGTGAGTTGAACACACACATCACAAAGTGTTTTCTGAGAATGATTTTGTCTAGTTTTAATACGAAGATATATCCTTTTCTATCACTGTCTTCGAAGCGTTTGAAATCTGCACTAGCAAATTCCACAAACAGAGTGTTTCAACTCTGCTCTCTCTCAAGAAAGGTTCAACTCTGTGAGTGGAATACACACAACACAAAGAAGTTACTAAGAATTCTTCTGTCTAGCGTTATATGAAGAAATCCCGTTTCCAACGAAGGCCTCAAAGAGGTCCAAATATCCACTTGCAGACTTTACAAATAGAGTGTTTCCAAACTGCTCTATGAAAAGAAAGGTTAAACTCCGTGAGTTGAAGGCACACATCACAAACTAGTTTCTGCGAATGACTCTGTGTACTTTTAATACGAAGATGTTTCCATGTCTAAGATTGGCGTGAATTCGCTTGAAATCTCCACTTGCAAATTCCACAAAAAGAGTGTTTCAAAACTGCTCTGAATAAAGGAAGGTTCCACTCTGTGAGTTGAATACACACAACACAAAGGATTTACTGAGAATTCTTCTGTCTAGTAGTAAATGAGAAATCCCGCTTCCAACGAAGGCCTCAAAGGGGTCTAACTAATCACTTGCAGACTTTACAGACAGAGTCTTTCCAAACTGCTCTATGAAGAGAAAGGTGAAACTCTGTGAACTGAACGCACAGATGACAAAGCAGTTTCTGAGAATGATTCTGTGTAGTTTTTACACGAAGATATTTCCATTTCAAAGATTAGCCTCAAATCGCTTGAAATCTCCACTTGCAAACTCCACAGAAAGAATTTTTCAAAACTGCTCTGTCTAAAGGAAGGTTCAACTCTGTGACTTGAATACACACAACACAAAGAAGTGACTGAGAATTCTTCTGTCTAGCATTATATGAAGAAATCCCGTTTCCAACGAAGGCCTCAATGAAGTCCAAAAAAGCACTTGCAGGCTTTACAAACAGAGTGTTTCCAAACTGCTCTATGAAAAGAAAGGTTAAACTCTGTGAGTTGAACGCACACATCACAAAGTAGTTGTTGAGAATGATTCTGTGTAGTTTTTATACGAAGATATTTCCTTTTCTGCCATAGGCCTAGAAGCGCTTGAAATCTGCACTTGCAAATTCCAAAAACAGAGTGTTTCAAATCTGCTCTCTCTAAAGGAAGGTTCAAATCTGTGTGTTGAATACAAACAACACAAAGAAGTTACTGAGAATTCTTCTGTCTAGCATTATATGAGGAAATCCCGTTTCCAACGAAGGGCTCAAAGAGGGCCAAATATCCACCTGCAGACTTACAAAGAGTGTATTTCCAAACTGCTCGATTAAAGAAAGGTTAAACTCTGTGAGTTGAACACACACATCACAAAGAGTTTTCTGAGAATGATTTTGTCTACTTTTAATACGAAGATATATCCTTTTCTATCACTGTCTTCGAAGCGTTTGAAATCTACACTAGCAAATTCCACAAAAAGAGTGTTTCACCTCTGCTCCCTCTAAAGAAAGGTTCAACTCTGTGAGTTGAATACACACAACACAAAGAAGTTACTGAGAATTCTTCTGTCTAGCGTTATATGAAGAAATCCCGTTTCCAACGAAGGCCTCAAAGAGGTCCAAATATCCACTTGCAGACTTTACAAATAGAGTGTTTCCCAACTGCTCTATGAAAAGAAAGGTTAAACTCTGTGAGTTGAAGGCACACATCACAAACTAGTTTCTACGAATGACTCTGTGTACTTTTAATATGAAGATATTTCCATGTCTAAGATTGGCGTCAAATCGCTTGAAATCTCCACTTGCAAATTCCACAAAAAGAGTGTTTCAAAACTGCTCTGAATAAAGGAAGGTTCCACTCTGTGAGTTGAATACACACAACACAAAGGATTTACTGAGAATTCTTCTGTCTAGCAGTAAATGAGAAATCCCGCTTCCAACGAAGGCCTCAAAGGGGTCTAACTAATCACTTGCAGACTTTACAGACAGAGTCTTTCCAAACTGCTCTATGAAGAGAAAGGTGAAACTCTGTGAACTGAACGCACAGATGACAAAGCAGTTTCTGAGAATGATTCTGTGTAGTTTTTACACGAAGATATTTCCATTTCAAAGATTAGCCTCAAATCGCTTGAAATCTCCACTTGCAAACTCCACAGAAAGAATTTTTCAAAACTGCTCTGTCTAAAGGAAGGTTCAACTCTGTGACTTGAATACACACAACACAAAGAAGTGACTGAGAATTCTTCTGTCTAGCATTATATGAAGAAATCCCGTTTCCAACGAAGGCCTCAATGAAGTCCAAAAAAGCACTTGCAGGCTTTACAAACAGAGTGTTTCCAAACTGCTCTATGAAAAGAAAGGTTAACTCTGTGAGTTGAACGCACACATCACAAAGTAGTTGTTGAGAATGATTCTGTGTAGTTTTTATACGAAGATATTTCCTTTTCTGCCATAGGCCTAGAAGCGCTTGAAATCTGCACTTGCAAATTCCAAAAACAGAGTGTTTCAACTCTGCTCTCTCTAAAGGAAGATTCAACTCTGTGAGTTGAATACACACAACACAAAGAAGTTACTGAGAATTCTTCTGTCTAGCGTTGTATGAAGAAATCCCGTTTCCAACGAAGGCCTCAATGAAGTTCAAAAAAGCACTTGCAGGCTTTACAAACAGAGTGTTTCCAAACTGCTCTATGAAAAGAAAGGTTAAACTCTGTGAGTTGAACACACACATCACAAAATAGTTGTTGAGAATGATTCTGTGTAGTTTTTATACGAAGATATTTCCTTTTCTGCCATAGGCCTAGAATCGCTTGAAATCTGCAGTTGCAAATTCCAAAAACAGAGTGTTTCAACTCTGCTCTCTCTAAAGAAAGGTTCAACTCTGTGAGTTGAATACACACAACACAAAGAAGTTACTGAGAATTCTTCTGTCTAGCGTTATATGAAGAAATCCCGTTTCCAACGAAGGCCTCAAAGAGGTCCAAATATCCACTTGCAGACTTTACAAATAGAGTGTTTCCCAACTGCTCTATGAAAAGAAAGGTTAAACTCTGTGAGTTGAAGGCACACATCACAAACTAGTTTCTACGAATGACTCTGTGTACTTTTAATATGAAGATATTTCCATGTCTAAGATTGGCGTCAAATCGCTTGAAATCTCCACTTGCAAATTCCACAAAAAGTGTTTTTCAAAACTGCTCTGAATAAAGGAAGGTTCCACTCTGTGAGTTGAATACACACAACACAAAGGATTTACTGAGAATTCTTCTGTCTAGCAGTAAATGAGAAATCCCGCTTCCAACGAAGGCCTCAAAGGGGTCTAACTAATCACTTGCAGACTTTACAGACAGAGTCTTTGCAAACTGCTCTATGAAGAGAAAGGTGAAACTCTGTGAACTGAACGCACAGAGGACAAAGCAGTTTCTGAGAATGATTCTGTGTAGTTTTTACACGAAGATATTTCCATTTCAAAGATTAGCCTCAAATCGCTTGAAATCTCCACTTGCAAACTCCACAGAAAGAATTTTTCAAAACTGCTCTGTCTAAAGGAAGGTTCAACTCTGTGACTTGAATACACACAACACAAAGAAGTGACTGAGAATTCTTCTGTCTAGCATTATATGAAGAAATCCCGTTTCCAACGAAGGCCTCAATGAAGTCCAAAAAAGCACTTGCAGGCTTTACAAACAGAGTGTTTCCAAACTGCTCTATGAAAAGAAAGGTTAAACTCTGTGAGTTGAACACACACATCACAAAGTAGCTGTTGAGAATGATTCTGTGTAGTTTTTATACGAAGATATTTCCTTTTCTGCCATAGGCCAAGAAGCGCTTGAAATCTGCACTTGCAAATTCCAAAAACAGAGTGTTTCAAATCTGCTCTCTCTAAAGGAAGGTTCAAATCTGTGTGTTGAATACAAACAACACAAAGAAGTTACTGAGAATTCTTCTGTCTAGCATTATATGAGGAAATCCCGTTTCCAACGAAGGGCTCAAAGAGGGCCAAATATCCACCAGCAGACTTACAAAGAGTGTATTTCCAAACTGCTCGATTAAAGAAAGGTTAAACTCTGTGAGTTGAACACACACATCACAAAGAGTTTTCTGAGAATGATTTTGTCTACTTTTAATACGAAGATATATCCTTTTCTATCACTGTCTTCGAAGCGTTGGAAATCTACACTAGCAAATTCCACAAAAAGAGTGTTTCACCTCTGCTCCCTCTAAAGAAAGGTTCAACTCTGTGAGTTGAATACACACAACACAAAGAAGTTACTGAGAATTCTTCTGTCTAGCGTTATATGAAGAAATCCCGTTTCCAACGAAGGCCTCAAAGAGGTCCAAATATCCACTTGCAGACTTTACAAATAGAGTGTTTCCCAACTGCTCTATGAAAAGAAAGGTTAAACTCTGTGAGTTGAAGGCACACATCACAAACTAGTTTCTACGAATGACTCTGTGTACTTTTAATATGAAGATATTTCCATGTCTCAGATTGGCGTCAAATCGCTTGAAATCTCCACTTGCAAATTCCACAAAAAGAGTGTTTCAAAACTGCTCTGAATAAAGGAAGGTTCCACTCTGTGAGTTGAATACACACAACACAAAGGATTTACTGAGAATTCTTCTGTCTAGCAGTAAATGAGAAATCCCGCTTCCAACGAAGGCCTCAAAGGGGTCTAACTAATCACTTGCAGACTTTACAGACAGAGTCTTTCCAAACTGCTCTATGAAGAGAAAGGTGAAACTCTGTGAACTGAACGCACAGATGACAAAGCAGTTTCTGAGAATGATTCTGTGTAGTTTTTACACGAAGATATTTCCATTTCAAAGATTAGCCTCAAATCGCTTGAAATCTCCACTTGCAAATTCCACAGAAAGAATTTTTCAAAACTGCTCTGTCTAAAGGAAGGTTCAACTCTGTGACTTGAATACACACAACACAAAGAAGTGACTGAGAATTCTTCTGTCTAGCATTATATGAAGAAATCCCGTTTCCAACGAAGGCCTCAATGAAGTCCAAAAAAGCACTTGCAGGCTTTACAAACAGAGTGTTTCCAAACTGCTCTATGAAAAGAAAGGTTAAACTCTGTGAGTTGAACGCACACATCACAAAGTAGTTGTTGAGAATGATTCTGTGTAGTTTTTATACGAAGATATTTCCTTTTCTGCCATAGGCCTAGAATCGCTTGAAATCTGCACTTGCAAATTCCAAAAACAGAGTGTTTCAACTCTGCTCTCTCTAAAGAAAGGTTCAACTCTGTGAGTTGAATACACACAACACAAAGAAGTTACTGAGAATTCTTCTGTCTAGCATTATATGAGGAAATCCCGTTTCCAACGAAGGCCTCAAAGAGGTCCAAATATCCACTTGCAGACTTTACAAATAGAGTGTTTCCAAACTGCTCTATGAAAAGAAAGGTTAAACTCTGTGAGTTGAAGGCACACATCACAAACTAGTTTCTACGAATGACTCTGTGTACTTTTAATATGAAGATATTTCCATGTCTAAGATTGGCGTCAAATCGCTTGAAATCTCCACTTGCAAATTCCACAAAAAGAGTGTTTCAAAACTGCTCTGAATAAAGGAAGGTTCCACTCTGTGAGTTGAATACACACAACACAAAGGATTTACTGAGAATTCTTCTGTCTAGCAGTAAATGAGAAATCCCGCTTCCAACGAAGGCCTCAAAGGGGTCTAACTAATCACTTGCAGACTTTACAGACAGAGTCTTTCCAAACTGCTCTATGAAGAGAAAGGTGAAACTCTGTGAACTGAACGCACAGATGACAAAGCAGTTTCTGAGAATGATTCTGTGTAGTTTTTACACGAAGATATTTCCATTTCAAAGATTAGCCTCAAATCGCTTGAAATCTCCACTTGCAAATTACACAGAAAGAATTTTTCAAAACTGCTCTGTCTAAAGGAAGGTTCAACTCTGTGACTTGAATACACACAACACAAAGAAGTGACTGAGAATTCTTCTGTCTAGCATTATATGAAGAAATCCCGTTTCCAACGAAGGCCTCAATGAAGTCCAAAAAAGCACTTGCAGGCTTTACAAACAGAGTGTTTCCAAACTCCTCTATGAAAAGAAAGGTTAAACTCTGTGAGTTGAACGCACACATCACAAAGTAGTTGTTGAGAATGATTCTGTGTAGTTTTTATACGAAGATATTTCCTTTTCTGCCATAGGCCTAGAATCGCTTGAAATCTGCACTTGCAAATTCCAAAAACAGAGTGTTTCAACTCTGCTCTCTCTAAAGAAAGGTTCAACTCTGTGAGTTGAATACACACAACACAAAGAAGTTACTGAGAATTCTTCTGTCTAGCGTTATATGAAGAAATCCCATTTCCAACGAAGGCCTCAAAGAGGTCCAAATATCCACTTGCAGACTTTACAAATAGAGTGTTTCCAAACTGCTCTATGAAAAGAAAGGTTAAACTCCGTGAGTTGAAGGCACACATCACAAACTAGTTTCTGCGAATGACTCTGTGTACTTTTAATACGAAGATGTTTCCATGTCTAAGATTGGCGTGAATTCGCTTGAAATCTCCACTTGCAAATTCCACAAAAAGAGTGTTTCAAAACTGCTCTGAATAAAGGAAGGTTCCACTCTGTGAGTTGAATACACACAACACAAAGGATTTACTGAGAATTCTTCTGTCTAGCAGTAAATGAAAAAATCCCGCTTCCAACGAACTCCTCAAAGGGGTCCAAGTAATCACTTGCAGACTTTACAGACAGAGTCTTTCCAAACTGCTCTATGAAAAGAAAGGTGGAACTCTGTGAGCTGAACGCACACATAACAAAGCAGTTTCTGAGAATGATTCTGTGTAGTTTTTACACGAAGATATTTCCATTTCAAAGATTAGCCTCAAATCGCTTGAAATCTCCACTTGCAAACTCCACAGAAAGAATTTTTCAAAACTGCTCTGTCTAAAGGAAGGTTCAACTCTGTGACTTGAATACACACAACACAAAGAAGTGACTGAGAATTCTTCTGTCTAGCATTATAAGAGGAAATCCCGTTTCCAACGAAGGGCTCCTAGAGGGACAATTATCCAGCTGCAGACTTACAAAGAGTGTATTTCCAAACTGCTCGATTAAAGAAAGGTTAAACTCTGTGAGTTGAACACACACATCACAAAGTGTTTTCTGAGAATGATTTTGTCTAGTTTTAATACGAAGATATATCCTTTTCTATCACTGTCTTCGAAGCGTTTGAAATCTGCACTAGCAAATTCCACAGAAAGAGTGTTTCAACTCTGCTCTCTCTCAAGAAAGGTTCAACTCTGTGAGTGGAATACACACAACACAAAGAAGTTACTGAGAATTCTTCTGTCTAGCGTTATATGAAGAAATCCCGTTTCCAACGAAGGCCTCAAAGAGGTCCAAATATCCACTTGCAGACTTTACAAAGAGAGTGTTTCCAAACTGCTCTATGAAAAGAAAGGTTAAACTCCGTGAGTTGAAGGCACACATCACAAACTAGTTTCTGCGAATGACTCTGTGTACTTTTAATATGAAGATATTTCCATGTGTAAGATTGGCGTCAAATCGCTTGAAATCTCCACTTGCAAATTCCACAAAAAGTGTTTTTCAAAACTGCTCTGAATAAAGGAAGGTTCCACTCTGTGAGTTGAATACAGACAACACAAAGGATTTACTGAGAATTCTTCTGTCTAGCAGTAAATGAGAAATCCCGCTTCCAACGAAGGCCTCAAAGGGGTCTAACTAATCACTTGCAGACTTTACAGACAGAGTCTTTCCAAACTGCTCTATGAGGAGAAAGGTGAAACTCTGTGAACTGAACGCACAGATGACAAAGCAGTTTCTGAGAATGATTCTGTGTAGTTTTTACACGAAGATATTTCCATTTCAAAGATTAGCCTCAAATCGCTTGAAATCTCCACTTGCAAACTCCACAGAAAGAATTTTTCAAAACTGCTCTGTCTAAAGGAAGGTTCAACTCTGTGACTTGAATACACACAACACAAAGAAGTGACTGAGAATTCTTCTGTCTAGCATTATATGAAGAAATCCCGTTTCCAACAAAGGCCTCAATGAAGTCCAAAAAAGCACTTGCAGGCTTTACAAACAGAGTGTTTCCAAACTGCTCTATGAAAAGAAAGGTTAAACTCTGTGAGTTGAACGCACACATCACAAAGTAGTTGTTGAGAATGATTCTGTGTAGTTTTTATACGAAGATATTTCCTTTTCTGCCATAGGCCTAGAATCGCTTTAAATCTGCACTTGCAAATTCCAAAAACAGAGTGTTTCAAATCTGCTCTCTCTAAAGGAAGGTTCAAATCTGTGAGTTGAATACAAACAACACAAAGAAGTTACTGAGAATTCTTCTGTCTAGCACTATATGAGGAAATCCCGTTTCCAATGAAGGGCTCAAAGAGGGCCAATTATCCACCTGCAGACTTACAAAGAGTGTATTTCCAAACTGCTCGATTAAAGAAAGGTTAAACTCTGTGAGTTGAACACACACATCACAAAGTGTTTTCTGAGAATGATTCTGTGTACTTTTAATACGAAGATGTTTCCATGTCTAAGATTGGCGTGAATTCGCTTGAAATCTCCACTTGCAAATTCCACAAAAAGAGTGTTTCAAGAGTGCTCTGAATAAAGGAAGGTTCCACTCTGTGAGTTGAATACACACAACACAAAGGATTTACTGAGAATTCTTCTGTCTAGCAGTAAATGAAAAAATCCCGCTTCCAACGAAGTCCTCAAAGGGGTCCAAGTAATCACTTGCAGACTTTACAGACAGAGTCTTTCCAAACTGCTCTATGAAAAGAAAGGTGGAACTCTGTGAGCTGAACGCACACATAACAAAGCAGTTTCTGAGAATGATTCTGTGTAGTTTTTACACGAAGCTATTTCCATTTCAAAGATTAGCCTCAAATCGCTTGAAATCTCCACTTGCAAATTCCACAGAAAGAGTTTTTCAAAACTGCTCTGTGTAAAGGAAGGTTCAACTCTGTGACTTGAATACACACAACACAAAGAAGTGACTGAGAATTCTTCTGTCTAGCATTATAAGAGGAAATCCCGTTTCCAACGAAGGGCTCATAGAGGGACAATTATCCAGCTGCAGACTTACAAAGAGTGTATTTCCAAACTGCTCGATTAAAGAAAGGTTAAACTCTGTGAGTTGAACACACACATCACAAAGTGTTTTCTGAGAATGATTTTGTCTAGTTTTAATACGAAGATATATCCTTTTCTATCACTGTCTTCGAAGCGTTTGAAATCTGCACTAGCAAATTCCACAGAAAGAGTGTTTCAACTCTGCTCTCTCTCAAGAAAGGTTCAACTCTGTGAGTGGAATACACACAACACAAAGAAGTTACTGAGAATTCTTCTGTCTAGCGTTATATGAAGAAATCCCGTTTCCAACGAAGGCCTCAAAGAGGTCCAAATATCCACTTGCAGACTTTACAAATAGAGTGTTTCCAAACTGCTCTATGAAAAGAAAGCTTAAACTCTGTGAGTTGAAGGCACACATCACAAACTAGTTTCTGCGAATGACTCTGTGTACTTTTAATACGAAGATGTTTCCATGTCTAAAATTGGCGTGAATTCGCTTGAAATCTCCACTTGCAAATTCCACAAAAAGAGTGTTTCAAAACTGCTCTGAATAAAGGAAGGTTCCACTCTGTGAGTTGAATACACACAACACGAAGGATTTACTGAGAATTCTTCTGTCTAGCAGTAAATGAAAAAATACCGCTTCCAACGAAGTCCTCAAAGGGGTCCAAGTAATCACTTGCAGACTTTACAGACAGAGTCTTTCCAAACTGCTCTATGAAAAGAAAGGTGGAACTCTGCGAGCTGAACGCACACATAACAAAGCAGTTTCTGAGAATGATTCTGTGTAGTTTTTACACGAAGATATTTCCATTTCAAAGATTAGCCTCAAATCGCTTGAAATCTCCACTTGCAAATTCCACAGAAAGAGTTTTTCAAAACTGCTCTGTGTAAAGGAAGGTTCAACTCTGTGACTTGAATACACACAACACAAAGAAGTGACTGAGAATTCTTCTGTCTAGCATTATATGAAGAAATCCCGTTTCCAACGAAGGCCTCAAAGAAGTCCAAATAAGCACCTGCAGACTTTACAAACAGAGTGTTTCCAAACTGCTCTATGAAAAGAAAGGTTAAACTCTGTGAGTTGAAAGCACACATCACAAAGTAGTTGTTGAGAATGATTCTGTGTAGTTTTTACACGAAGATATTTCCTTTTCTGCCATAGGCCTAGAAGCGCTTGCAATCTGCACTTACAATTTCCAAAAACAGAGTGTTTCAAATCTCCTCTCTCTAAAGGAAAGTTCAAATCTGTGAGTTGAATACAAACAACACAAAGAAGTTACTGAGAATTCTTCTGTCTAGCATTATATGAGGAAATCCCGTTTCCAACGAAGGGCTCATAGAGGGACAATTATCCACCTGCAGACTTACAAAGAGTGTATTTCCAAACTGCTCGATTACAGAAAGGTTAAACTCTGTGAGTTGAACACACACATCACAAAGTGTTTTCTGAGAATGATTTTGTCTAGTTTTAATACGAAGATATATCCTTTTCTATCACTGTCTTCGAAGCGTTTGAAATCTGCACTAGCAAATTCCACAAAAAGAGTGTTTCAACTCTGCTCTCTCTCAAGAAAGGTTCAACTCTGTGAGTTGAATACACACAACACAAAGAAGTTACTGAGAATTCTTCTGTCTAGCGTTATATGAAGAAATCCCCTTTCCAACGAAGGCCTCAAAGAGGTCCAAATATCCACTTGCAGACTTTACAAATAGAGTGTTTCCGAACTGCTCTATGAAAAGAAAGGTTAAACTCTGTGAGTTGAAGGCACACATCACAAACTAGTTTCTACGAATGACTCTGTGTACTTTTAATATGAAGATATTTCCATGTCTAAGATTGGCGTCAAATCGCTTGAAATCTCCACTTGCAAATTCCACAAAAAGTGTTTTTCAAAACTGCTCTGAATAAAGGAAGGTTCCACTCTGTGAGTTGAATACACACAACACAAAGGATTTACTGAGAATTCTTCTGTCTAGCAGTAAATGAAAAAATCCCGCTTCCAACAAAGTCCTCAAAGGGGTCCAAGTAATCACTTGCAGACTTTACAGACAGAGTCTTTCCAAACTGCTCTATGAAAAGAAAGGTGGAACTCTGTGAGCTGAACGCACACATAACAAAGCAGTTTCTGAGAATGATTCTGTGTAGTTTTTACACGAAGCTATTTCCATTTCAAAGATTAGCCTCAAATCGCTTGAAATCTCCACTTGCAAATTCCACAGAAAGAGTTTTTCAAAACTGCTCTGTGTAAAGGAAGGTTCAACTCTGTGACTTGAATACACACAACACAAAGAAGTGACTGAGAATTCTTCTGTCTACCATTACATGAAGAAATCCCGTTTCCAACGAAGGCCTCAAAGAAGTCCAAATAAGCACCTGCAGACTTTACAAACAGAGTGTTTCCAAACTGCTCTATGAAAAGAAAGGTTAAACTCTGTGAGTTGAACGCACACATCACAAAGTAGTTGTTGAGAATGATTCTGTGTAGTTTTTATACGAAGATATTTCCTTTTCTGCCATAGGCCTAGAAGCGCTTGTAATCTGCACTTGCAAATTCCAAAAACAGAGTGTTTCAAATCTGCTCTCTCTAAAGGAAGGTTCAAATCTGTGAGTTGAATACAAACAACACAAAGAAGTTACTGAGAATTCTTCTGTCTAGCGTTATATGAAGAAATCCCGTTTCCAACGAAGGCCTCAAAGAGTTCCAAATATCCACTTGCAGACTTTACAAATAGAGTGTTTCCAAACTGCTCTATGAAAAGAAAGCTTAAACTCTGTGAGTTGAAGGCACACATCACAAACTAGTTTCTGCGAATGACTCTGTGTACTTTTAATACGAAGATGTTTCCATGTCTAAGATTGGCGTGAATTCGCTTGAAATCTCCACTTGCAAATTCCACAAAAAGAGTGTTTCAAAACTGCTCTGAATAAAGGAAGGTTCCACTCTGTGAGTTGAATACACACAACACGAAGGATTTACTGAGAATTCTCTGTCTAGCAGTAAATGAAAAAATCCCGCTTCCAACGAAGTCCTCAAAGGGGTCCAAGTAATCACTTGCAGACTTTACAGACAGAGTCTTTCCAAACTGCTCTATGAAAAGAAAGGTGGAACTCTGTGAGCTGAACGCACACATAACAAAGCAGTTTCTGAGAATGATTCTGTGTAGTTTTTACACGAAGATATTTCCATTTCAAAGATTAGCCTCAAATCGCTTGAAATCTCCACTTGCAAATTCCACAGAAAGAGTTTTTCAAAACTGCTCTGTGTAAAGGAAGGTTCAACTCTGTGACTTGAATACACACAACACAAAGAAGTGACTGAGAATTCTTCTGTCTAGCATTATATGAAGAAATCCCGTTTCCAACGAAGGCCTCAAAGAAGTCCAAATAAGCACCTGCAGACTTTACAAACAGAGTGTTTCCAAACTGCTCTATGAAAAGAAAGGTTAAACTCTGTGAGTTGAACGCACACATCACAAAGTAGTTGTTGAGAATGATTTTGTCTAGTTTTAATACGAAGATATATCCTTTTCTATCACTGTCTTCGAAGCGTTTGAAATCTGCACTAGCAAATTCCACAGAAAGAGTGTTTCAACTCTGCTCTCTCTCAAGAAAGGTTCAACTACTGTGAGTTGAATACACACAACACAAAGAAGTTACTGAGAATTCTTCTGTCTAGCGTTATATGAAGAAATCCCGTTTCCAACGAAGGCCTCAAAGAGGTCCAAATATCCACTTGCAGACTTTACAAAGAGAGTGTTTCCAAACTGCTCTATGAAAAGAAAGGTTAAACTCCGTGAGTTGAAGGCACACATCACAAACTAGTTTCTGCGAATGACTTCTGTGTACTTTTAATATGAAGATATTTCCATGTCTAAGTATTGGCGTCAAATCGCTTGAAATCTCCACTTGCAAATTCCACAAAAAGAGTGTTTCAAAACTGCTCTGAATAAAGGAAGGTTCCACTCTGTGAGTTGAATACACACAACACAAAGGATTTACTGAGAATTCTTCTGTCTAGCAGTAAATGAGAAATCCCGCTTCCAACGAAGGCCTCAAAGGGGTCTAACTAATCACTTGCAGACTTTACAGACAGAGTCTTTCCAAACTGCTCTATGAAGAGAAAGGTGAAACTCTGTGAACTGAACGCACAGATGACAAAGCAGTTTCTGAGAATGATTCTGTGTAGTTTTGACACGAAGATATTTCCATTTCAAAGATTAGCCTCAAATCGCTTGAAATCTCCACTTGCAAACTCCACAGAAAGAATTTTTCAAAACTGCTCTGTCTAAAGGAAGGTTCAACTCTGTGACTTGAATACACACAACACAAAGAAGTGACTTAGAATTCTTCTGTCTAGCATTATATGAAGAAATCCCGTTTCCAACGAAGGCCTCAATGAAGTCCAAAAAAGCACTTGCAGGCTTTACAAACAGAGTGTTTCCAAACTGCTCTGTGAAAAGAAAGGTTAAACTCTATGAGTTGAACGCACACATCACAAAGTAGTTGTTGAGAATGATTCTGTGTAGTTTTTATACGAAGATATTTCCTTTTCTGCCATAGGCCTAGAATCGCTTGAAATCTGCACTTGCAAATTCCAAAAACAGAGTGTTTCAACTCTGCTCTCTCGAAAGAAAGGTTCAACTCTGTGAGTTGAATACAAACAACACAAAGAAGTTACTGAGAATTCTTCTGTCTAGCGTTGTATGAAGAAATCCCGTTTCCAACGAAGGCCTCAAAGAGGTCCAAATATCCACTTGCAGACTTTACAAATAGAGTGTTTCCAAACTGCTCTATGAAAAGAAAGGTTAAACTCTGTGAGTTGAAGGCACACATCACAAACTAGTTTTTACGAATGACTCTGTGTACTTTTAATATGAAGATATTTCCATGTCTAAGATTGGCGTCAAATCGCTTGAAATCTCCACTTGCAAATTCCACAAAAAGTGTTTTTCAAAAGTGCTCTGAATAAAGGAAGGTTCCACTCTGTGTGTTGAATACACACAACACAAAGGATTTACTGAGAATTCTTCTGTCTAGCAGTAAATGAGAAATCCCGCTTCCAACGAAGGCCTCAAAGGGGTCTAACTAATCACTTGCGGACTTTACAGACAGAGTCTTTCCAAACTGCTCTATGAAGAGAAAGGTGAAACTCTGTGAACTGAACGCACACATAACAAAGCAGTTTCTGAGAATGATTCTGTGTAGTTTTTACACGAAGATATTTCCATTTCAAAGATTAGCCTCAAATCGCTTGAAATCTCCACTTGCAAATTCCACAGAAAAAATTTTTCAAAACTGCTCTGTCTAAAAGAAGGTTCAACTCTGTGACTTGAATACACACAACACAAAGAAGTGACTGAGAATTCTTCTGTCTAGCATTATATGAAGAAATCCCGTTTCCAACGAAGGCCTCAATGAAGTCCAAAAAAGCACTTGCAGGCTTTACAAACAGAGTGTTTCCAAACTGCTCTATGAAAAGAAAGGTTAAACTCTGTGAGTTGAACGCACACATCACAAAGTAGTTGTTGAGAATGATTCTGTGTAGTTTTTATACGAAGATATTTCCTTTTCTGCCATAGGCCTAGAATCGCTTGAAATCTGCACTTGCAAATTCCAAAAACAGAGTGTTTCAACTCTGCTCTCTCTAAAGAAAGGTTCAACTCTGTGAGTTGAATACAAACAACACAAAGAAGTGACTGAGAATTCTTCTGTCTAGCGTTGTATGAAGAAATCCCGTTTCCAACGAAGGCCTCAATGAAGTCCAAAAAAGCACTTGCAGGCTTTACAAACAGAGTGTTTCCAAACTGCTCTATGAAAAGAAAGGTTAAACTCTGTGAGTTGAACGCACACATCACAAAGTAGTTGTTGAGAATGATTCTGTGTAGTTTTTATACGAAGATATTTCCTTTTCTGCCATAGGCCTAGAAGCGCTTGAAATCTGCACTTGCAAATTCCAAAAACAGAGTGTTTCAACTATGCTCTCTCTAAAGAAAGGTTCAACTCTGTGAGTTGAATACACACAACACAAAGAAGTTACTGAGAATTCTTCTGTCTAGGATTATATGAAGAAATCCCGTTTCCAACGAAGGCCTCAATGAAGTCCAAAAAAGCAATTGCAGGCTTTACAAACAGAGTGTTTCCAAACGGCTCTATGAAAAGAAAGGTTAAACTTTGTGAGTTGAACGCACACATCACAAAGTAGTTGTTGAGAATGATTCTGTGTAGTTTTTATACGAAGATATTTCCTTTTCTGCCATAGGCCTAGAATCCCTTGAAATCTGCACTTCCAAATTCCAAAAACAGAGTGTTTCAACTCTGCTCTCTCTAAAGAAAGATTCAACTCTGTGAGTTGAATACACACAACACAAAGAAGTTACTGAGAATTCTTCTGTCTAGCGTTGTATGAAGAAATCCCGTTTCCAACGAAGGCCTCAATGAAGTCCAACAAAGCACTTGCAGGCTTTACAAACAGAGTGTTTCCAAACTGCTCTATGAAAAGAAAGGTTAAACTCTGTGAGTTGAACGCACACATCACAAAGTAGTTGTTGAGAATGATTCTGTGTAGTTTTTATACGAAGATATTTCCTTTTCTGCCATAGGCCTAGAAGCGCTTGAAATCTGCACTTGCAAATTCCAAAAACAGAGTGTTTCAAATCTGCTCTCTCTAAAGGAAGGTTCAAATCTGTGTGTTGAATACAAACAACACAAAGAAGTTACTGAGAATTCTTCTGTCTAGCATTATATGAGGAAATCCCGTTTCCAACGAAGGGCTCAAAGAGGGCCAAATATCCACCTGCAGACTTACAAAGAGTGTATTTCCAAACTGCTCGATTAAAGAAAGGTTAAACTCTGTGAGTTGAACACACACATCACAAAGAGTTTTCTGAGAATGATTTTGTCTACTTTTAATACGAAGATATATCCTTTTCTATCACTGTCTTCGAAGCGTTTGAAATCTACACTAGCAAATTCCACAAAAAGAGTGTTTCACCTCTGCTCCCTCTAAAGAAAGGTTCAACTCTGTGAGTTGAATACACACAACACAAAGAAGTTACTGAGAATTCTTCTGTCTAGCGTTATATGAAGAAATCCCGTTTCCAACGAAGGCCTCAAAGAGGTCCAAATATCCACTTGCAGACTTTACAAATAGAGTGTTTCCCAACTGCTCTATGAAAAGAAAGGTTAAACTCTGTGAGTTGAAGGCACACATCACAAACTAGTTTCTACGAATGACTCTGTGTACTTTTAATATGAAGCATATTTCCATGTCTAAGATTGGCGTCAAATCGCTTGAAATCTCCACTTGCAAATTCCACAAAAAGTGTTTTTCAAAACTGCTCTGAATAAAGGAAGGTTCCACTCTGTGAGTTGAATACACACAACACAAAGGATTTACTGAGAATTCTTCTGTCTAGCAGTAAATGAGAAATCCCGCTTCCAACGAAGGCCTCAAAGGGGTCTAACTAATCACTTGCAGACTTTACAGACAGAGTCTTTCCAAACTGCTCTATGAAGAGAAAGGTGAAACTCTGTGAACTGAACGCTCAGATGACAAAGCAGTTTCTGAGAATGATTCTGTGTAGTTTTTACACGAAGATATTTCCATTTCAAAGATTAGCCTCAAATCGCTTGAAATCTCCACTTGCAAACTCCACAGAAAGAATTTTTCAAAACTGCTCTGTCTAAAGGAAGGTTCAACTCTGTGACTTGAATACACACAACACAAAGAAGTGACTGAGAATTCTTCTGTCTAGCATTATATGAAGAAATCCCGTTTCCAACGAAGGCCTCAATGAAGTCCAAAAAAGCACTTGCAGGCTTTACAAACAGAGTGTTTCCAAACTGCTGTATGAAAAGAAAGGTTAAACTCTGTGAGTTGAACGCACACATCACAAAGTAGTTGTTGAGAATGATTCTGTGTAGTTTTTATACGAAGATATTTCCTTTTCTGCCATAGGCCTAGAAGCGCTTGAAATCTGCACTTGCTAATTCCAAAAACAGAGTGTTTCAAATCTGCTCTCTCTAAAGGAAGGTTCAAATCTGTGAGTTGAATACAAACAACACAAAGAAGTTACTGAGAATTCTTCTGTCTAGCGTTGTATGAAGAAATCCCATTTCCAACGAAGGCCTCAATGAAGTCCAAAAAAGCACTTGCAGGCTTTACAAACAGAGTGTTTCCAAACTGCTCTATGAAAAGAAAGGTTAAACTCTGTGAGTTGAACGCACACATCACAAAGTAGTTGTTGAGAATGATTCTGTGTAGTTTTTATACGAAGATATTTCCTTTTCTGCCATAGGCCTAGAAGCGCTTGAAATCTGCACTTGCAAATTCCAAAAACAGAGTGTTTCAAATCTGCTCTCTCTAAAGGAAGGTTCAAATCTGTGTGTTGAATACAAACAACACAAAGAAGTTACTGAGAATTCTTCTGTCTAGCATTATATGAGGAAATCCCGTTTCCAACGAAGGCCTCAAAGAGGTCCAAATATCCACGTGCAGACTTTACAAATAGAGTGTTTCCAAACTGCTCTATGAAAAGAAAGGTTAAACTCTGTGAGTTGAAGGCACACATCACAAACTAGTTTCTACGAATGACTCTGTGTACTTTTAATATGAAGATATTTCCATGTCTAAGATTGGCGTCAAATCGCTTGAAATCTCCACTTGCAAATTCCACGAAAAGTGTTTTTCAAAACTGCTCTGAATAAAGGAAGGTTCCACTCTGTGAGTTGAATACACACAACACAAAGGATTTACTGAGAATTCTTCTGTCTAGCAGTAAATGAGAAATCCCGCTTCCAACGAAGGCCTCAAAGGGGTCTAACTAATCACTTGCAGACTTTACAGACAGAGTCTTTCCAAACTGCTCTATGAAGAGAAAGGTGAAACTCTGTGAACTGAACGCACAGATGACAAAGCAGTTTCTGAGAATGATTCTGTGTAGTTTTTACACGAAGATATTTCCATTTCAAAGATTAGCCTCAAATCGCTTGAAATCTCCACTTGCAAATTACACAGAAAGAACTTTTCAAAACTGCTCTGTCTAAAGGAAGGTTCAACTCTGTGACTTGAATACACACAACACAAAGAAGTGACTGAGAATTCTTCTGTCTAGCATTATAAGAGGAAATCCCGTTTCCAACGAAGGGCTCATAGAGGGACAATTATCCAGCTGCAGACTTACAAAGAGTGTATTTCCAAACTGCTCGATTAAAGAAAGGTTAAACTCTGTGAGTTGAACACACACATCACAAAGTGTTTTCTGAGAATGATTTTGTCTAGTTTTAATACGAAGATATATCCTTTTCTATCACTGTCTTCGAAGCGTTTGAAATCTGCACTAGCAAATTCCACAGAAAGAGTGTTTCAACTCTGCTCTCTCTCAAGAAAGGTTCAACTCTGTGAGTGGAATACACACAACACAAAGAAGTTACTGAGAATTCTTCTGTCTAGCGTTATATGAAGAAATCCCGTTTCCAACGAAGGCCTCAAAGAGGTCCAAATATCCACTTGCAGACTTTACAAGTAGAGTGTTTCCCAACTGCTCTATGAAAAGAAAGGTTAAACTCTGTGAGTTGAAGGCACACATCACAAACTAGTTTCTACGAATGACTCTGTGTACTTTTAATATGAAGATATTTCCATGTCTAAGTATTGGCGTCAAATCGCTTGAAATCTCCACTTGCAAATTCCACGAAAAGTGTTTTTCAAAACTGCTCTGAATAAAGGAAGGTTCCACTCTGTGAGTTGAATACACACAACACAAAGGATTTACTGAGAATTCTTCTGTCTAGCAGTAAATGAGAAATCCCGCTTCCAACGAAGGCCTCAAAGGGGTCTAACTAATCACTTGCAGACTTTACAGACAGAGTCTTTCCAAACTGCTCTATGAAGAGAAAGGTGAAACTCTGTGAACTGAACGCACAGATGACAAAGCAGTTTCTGAGAATGATTCTGTGTAGTTTTTACACGAAGATATTTCCATTTCAAAGATTAGCCTCAAATCGCTTGAAATCTCCACTTGCAAACTCCACAGAAAGAATTTTTCAAAACTGCTCTGTCTAAAGGAAGGTTCAACTCTGTGACTTGAATACACACAACACAAAGAAGTGACTGAGAATTCTTCTGTCTAGCATTATATGAAGAAATCCCGTTTCCAACGAAGGCCTCAAAGAAGTCCAAATAAGCACCTGCAGACTTTACAAACAGAGTGTTTCCAAATTGCTCTATGAAAAGAAAGGTTAAACTCTGTGAGCTGAACGCACACATCACAAAGTAGTTGTTGAGAATGATTCTGTGTAGTTTTTATACGAAGATATTTCCTTTTCTGCCATAGGCCTAGAAGCGCTTGAAATCTGCACTTGCAAATTCCAAAAACAGAGTGTTTCAAATCTGCTCTCTCTAAAGGAAGGTTCAAATCTGTGTGTTGAATACAAACAACACAAAGAAGTTACTGAGAATTCTTCTGTCTAGCATTATATGAGGAAATCCCGTTTCCAACGAAGGGCTCAAAGAGGGCCAAATATCCACCTGCAGAATTACAAAGAGTGTATTTCCAAACTGCTCGATTAAAGAAAGGTTAAACTCTGTGAGTTGAACACACACATCACAAAGAGTTTTCTGAGAATGATTTTGTCTACTTTTAATACGAAGATATATCCTTTTCTATCACTGTCTTCGAAGCGTTTGAAATCTACACTAGCAAATTCCACAAAAAGAGTGTTTCACCTCTGCTCCCTCTAAAGAAAGGTTCAACTCTGTGAGTTGAATACACACAACACAAAGAAGTTACTGAGAATTCTTCTGTCTAGCGTTATATGAAGAAATCCCGTTTCCAACGAAGGCCTCAAAGAGGTCCAAATATCCACTTGCAGACTTTACAAATAGAGTGTTTCCCAACTGCTCTATGAAAAGAAAGGTTAAACTCTGTGAGTTGAAGGCACACATCACAAACTAGTTTCTACGAATGACTCTGTGTACTTTTAATGTGAAGATATTTCCATGTCTAAGATTGGCGTCAAATCGCTTGAAATCTCCACTTGCAAATTCCACAAAAAGAGTGTTTCAAAACTGCTCTGAATAAAGGAAGGTTCCACTCTGTGAGTTGAATACACACAACACAAAGGATTTACTGAGAATTCTTCTGTCTAGCAGTAAATGAGAAATCCCGCTTCCAACGAAGGCCTCAAAGGGGTCTAACTAATCACTTGCAGACTTTACAGACAGAGTCTTTCCAAACTGCTCTATGAAGAGAAAGGTGAAACTCTGTGAACTGAACGCACAGATGACAAAGCAGTTTCTGAGAATGATTCTGTTTAGTTTTTACACGAAGATATTTCCATTTCAAAGATTAGCCTCAAATCGCATGAAATCTCCACTTGCAAATTCCACAGAAAGAATTTTTCAAAACTGCTCTGTCTAAAGGAAGGTTCAACTCTGTGAGTTGAATACACACAACACAAAGAAGTGACTGAGAATTCTTCTGTCTAGCATTACATGAAGAAATCCCGTTTCCAACGAAGGCCTCAATGAAGTCCAAAAAAGCACTTGCAGGATTTACAAACAGAGTGTTTCCAAACTGCTCTATGAAAAGAAAGGTTAAACTCTGTGAGTTGAACGCACACATCACAAAGTAGTTGTTGAGAATGATTCTGTGTAGTTTTTATACGAAGATATTTCCTTTTCTGCCATAGGCCTAGAAAGCGCTTGAAATCTGCACTTGCAAATTCCAAAAACAGAGTGTTTCAAATCTGCTCTCTCTAAAGGAAGGTTCAAATCTGTGTGTTGAATACAAACAACACAAAGAAGTTACTGAGAATTCTTCTGTCTAGCATTATATGAGGAAATCCCGTTTCCAACGAAGGGCTCAAAGAGGGCCAAATATCCACCTGCAGACTTACAAAGAGTGTATTTCCAAACTGCTCGATTAAAGAAAGGTTAAACTCTGTGAGTTGAACACACACATCACAAAGAGTTTTCTGAGAATGATTTTGTCTAGTTTTAATACGAAGATATATCCTTTTCTATCACTGTCTTCGAAGCGTTTGAAATCTGCACTAGCAAATTCCACAAAAAGAGTGTTTCAACTCTGCTCTCTCTAAAGAAAGGTTCAACTCTGTGAGTTGAATACACACAACACAAAGAAGTTACTGAGAATTCTTCTGTCTAGTGTTATATGAAGAAATCCCTTTTCCAACGAAGGCCTCAAAGAGGTCCAAATATCCACTTGCAGACTTTACAAATAGAATGTTTCCGAACTGCTCTATGAAAAGAAAGGTTAAACTCTGTGAGTTGAAGGCACACATCACAATCTAGTTTCTACGAATGATTCTGTGTACTTTTAATATGAAGATATTTCCATGTCTAAGATTGGCGTCAAATCGCTTGAAATCTCCACTTGCAAATTCCACAAAAAGTGTTTTTCAAAACTGCTCTGAATAAAGGAAGGTTCCACTCTGTGAGTTGAATACACACAACACAAAGGATTTACTGAGAATTCTTCTGTCTAGCAGTAAATGAGAAATCCCGCTTCCAACGAAGACCTCAAAGGGGTCTAACTAATCACTTGCAGACTTTACAGACAGAGTCTTTCCAAACTGCTCTATGAAGAGAAAGGTGAAACTCTGTGAACTGAACGCACAGATGACAAAGCAGTTTCTGAGAATGATTCTGTGTAGTTTTTACACGAAGATATTTCCATTTCAAAGATTAGCCTCAAATCGCTTGAAATCTCCACTTGCAAACTCCACAGAAAGAATTTTTCAAAACTGCTCTGTCTAAAGGAAGGTTCAACTCTGTGACTTGAATACACACAACACAAAGAAGTGACTGAGAATTCTTCTCTCTAGCATTATATGAAGAAATCCCGTTTCCAACGAAGGCCTCAATGAAGTCCAAAAAAGCACTTGCAGGCTTTACAAACAGAGTGTTTCCAAACTGCTCTATGAAAAGAAAGGTTAAACTCTGTGAGTTGAACGCACACATCACAAAGTAGTTGTTGAGAATGATTCTGTGTAGTTTTTATACGAAGATATTTCCTTTTCTGCCATAGGCCTAGAAGCGCTTGAAATCTGCACTTGCAAATTCCAAAAACAGAGTGTTTCAAATCTGCTCTCTCTAAAGGAAGGTTCAAATCTGTGTGTTGAATACAAACAACACAAAGAAGTTACTGAGAATTCTTCTGTCTAGCATTATATGAGGAAATCCCGTTTCCAACGAAGGGCTCAAAGAGGGCCAATTATCCACCTGCAGACTTACAAAGAGTGTATTTCCAAACTGCTCGATTAAAGAAAGGTTAAACTCTGTGAGTTGAACACACACATCACAAAGAGTTTTCTGAGAATGATTTTGTCTACTTTTAATACGAAGATATATCCTTTTCTATCACTGTCTTCGAAGCGTTTGAAATCTACACTAGCAAATTCCACAAAAAGAGTGTTTCACCTCTGCTCCCTCTAAAGAAAGGTTCAACTCTGTGAGTTGAATACACACAACACAAAGAAGTTACTGAGAATTCTTCTGTCTAGCGTTATATGAAGAAATCCCGTTTCCAACGAAGGCCTCAAAGAGGTCCAAATATCCACTTGCAGACTTTACAAATAGAGTGTTTCCCAACTGCTCTATGAAAAGAAAGGTTAAACTCTGTGAGTTGAAGGCACACATCACAAACTAGTTTCTACGAATGACTCTGTGTACTTTTAATATGAAGACATTTCCATGTCTAAGATTGGCGTCAAATCGCTTGAAATCTCCACTTGCAAATTCCACAAAAAGTGTTTTTCAAAACTGCTCTGAATAAAGGAAGGTTCCACTCTGTGAGTTGAATACACACAACACAAAGGATTTACTGAGAATTCTTCTGTCTAGCAGTAAATGAGAAATCCCGCTTCCAACGAAGGCCTCAAAGGGGTCTAACTAATCACTTGCAGACTTTACAGACAGAGTCTTTCCAAACTGCTCTATGAAGAGAAAGGTGAAACTCTGTGAACTGAACGCACAGATGACAAAGCAGTTTCTGAGAATGATTCTGTGTAGTTTTTACACGAAGATATTTCCATTTCAAAGATTAGCCTCAAATCGCTTGAAATCTCCACTTGCAAACTCCACAGAAAGAATTTTTCAAAACTGCTCTGTCTAAAGGAAGGTTCAACTCTGTGACTTGAATACACACAACACAAAGAAGTGACTGAGAATTCTTCTGTCTAGCATTATATGAAGAAATCCCGTTTCCAACGAAGGCCTCAATGAAGTCCATAAAAGCACTTGCAGGCTTTACAAACAGAGTGTTTCCAAACTGCTCTATGAAAAGAAAGGTTAAACTCTGTGAGTTGAACGCACACATCACAAAGTAGTTGTTGAGAATGATTCTGTGTAGTTTTTATACGAAGATATTTCCTTTTCTGCCATAGGCCTAGAAGCGCTTGCAATCTGCACTTGCAAATTCCAAAAACAGAGTGTTTCAAATCTGCTCTCTCTAAAGGAAGTTTCAAATCTGTGAGTTGAATACAAACAACACAAAGAAGTTACTGAGAATACTTCTGTCTAGCATTATATGAGGAAAACCCGTTTCCAACGAAGGGCTCATAGAGGGACAATTATCCACCTGCAGACTTACAAAGAGTGCATTTCCAAACTGCTCGATTAAAGAAAGGTTAAACTCTGTGAGTTGAACACACACATCACAAAGTGTTTTCTGAGAATGATTTTGTCTAGTTTTAATACGAAGATATATCCTTTTCTATCACTGTCTTCGAAGCGTTTGAAATCTGCACTAGCAAATTCCACAGAAAGAGTGTTTCAACTCTGCTCTCTCTCAAGAAAGGTTCAACTCTGTGAGTGGAATACACACAACACAAAGAAGTTACAGAGAATTCTTCTGTCTAGCGTTATATGAAGAAATCCCGTTTCCAACGAAGGCCTCAAAGAGGTCCAAATATCCACTTGCAGACTATACAAATAGAGTGTTTCCAAACTGCTCTATGAAAAGAAAGCTTAAACTCTGTGAGTTGAAGGCACACATCACAAACTAGTTTCTGCGAATGACTCTGTGTACTTTTAATACGAAGATGTTTCCATGTCTAAGATTGGCGTGAATTCGCTTGAAATCTCCACTTGCAAATTCCACAAAAAGAGTGTTTCAAAACTGCTCTGAATAAAGGAAGGTTCCACTCTGTGAGTTGAATACACACAACACAAAGGATTTACTGAGAATTCTTCTGTCTAGCAGTAAATGAGAAATCCCGCTTTCAACGAAGGCCTCAAAGGGGTCTAACTAATCACTTGCAGACTTTACAGACAGAGTCTTTCCAAACTGCTCTATGAAGAGAAAGGTGAAACTCTGTGAACTGAACGCACTGATGACAAAGCAGTTTCTGAGAATGATTCTGTGTAGTTTTTACACGAAGATATTTCCATTTCAAAGATTAGCCTCAAATCGCTTGAAATCTCCACTTGCAAACTCCACAGAAAGAATTTTTCAAAACTGCTCTGTCTAAAGGAAGGTTCAACTCTGTGACTTGAATACACACAACACAAAGAAGTGACTGAGAATTCTTCTGACTAGCGTTGTATGAAGAAATCGCGTTTCCAACGAAGGCCTCAATGAAGTCCAAAAAAGCACTTGCAGGCTTTACAAACAGAGTGTTTCCAAACTGCTCTATGAAAAGAAAGGTTAAACTCTGTGAGTTGAACACACACATCACAAAGAGTTTTCTGAGAATGATTCTGTGTAGTTTTTATACGAAGATATTTCCTTTTCTGCCATAGGCCTAGAATCGCTTGAAATCTGCAGTTGCAAATTCCAAAAACAGAGTGTTTCAACTCTGCTCTCTCTAAAGAAAGTTTCAACTCTGTGAGTTGAATACACACAACACAAAGAAGTTACTGAGAATTCTTCTGTCTAGCGTTGTATGAAGAAATCCCGTTTCCAACGAAGGCCTCAAAGAGGTCCAAATATCCACTTGCAGACTTTACAAATAGAGTGTTTCCAAACTGCTCTATGAAAAGAAAGGTTAAACTCTGTGAGTTGAAGGCACACATCACAAACTAGTTTCTACGAATGACTCTGTGTACTTTTAATATGAAGATATTTCCATGTCTAAGATTGGCGTCAAATCGCTTGAAATCTCCACTTGCAAATTCCACAAAAAGTGTTTTTCAAAAGTGCTCTGAATAAAGGAAGGTTCCACTCTGTGAGTTGAATACACGCAACACAAAGGATTTACTGAGAATTCTTCTGTCTAGCAGTAAATGAGAAATCCCGCTTCCAACGAAGGCCTCAAAGGGGTCTAACTAATCACTTGCAGACTTTACAGACAGAGTCTTTCCAAACTGCTCTATGAAGAGAAAGGTGAAACTCTGTGAACTGAACGCACAGATGACAAAGCAGTTTCTGAGAATGATTCTGTGTAGTTTTTACACGAAGATATTTCCATTTCAAAGATTAGCCTCAAATCGCTTGAAATCTCCACTTGCAAACTCCACAGAAAGAATTTTTCAAAACTGCTCTGTCTAAAGGAAGGTTCAACTCTGTGACTTGAATACACACAACACAAAGAAGTGACTGAGAATTCTTCTGTCTAGCATTATATGAAGAAATCCCGTTTCCAACGAAGGCCTCAATGAAGTCCAAAAAAGCACTTGCAGGCTTTACAAACAGAGTGTTTCCAAACTGCTCTATGAAAAGAAAGGTTAAACTCTGTGAGTTGAACGCACACATCACAAAGTAGTTGTTGAGAATGATTCTGTGTAGTTTTTATACGAAGATATTTCCTTTTCTGCCATAGGCCTAGAATCGCTTGAAATCTGCAGTTGCAAATTCCAAAAACAGAGTGTTTCAACTCTGCTCTCTCTAAAGAAAGGTTCAACTCTGTGAGTTAAATACACACAACACAAAGAAGTTACTGAGAATTCTTCTGTCTAGCGTTGTATGAAGAAATCCCGTTTCCAACGAAGGCCTCAAAGAGGTCCAAATATCCACTTGCAGACTTTACAAATAGAGTGTTTCCAAACTGCTCTATGAAAAGAAAGGTTAAACTCTGTGAGTTGAAGGCACACATCACAAACTAGTTTCTACGAATGACTCTGTGTACTTTTAATATGAAGATATTTCCATGTCTAAGATTGGCGTCAAATCGCTTGAAATCTCCACTTGCAAATTCCACAAAAAGAGTGTTTCAAAACTGCTCTGAATAAAGGAAAGTTCCACTCTGTGAGTTGAATAAACACAACACAAAGGATTTACTGAGAATTCTTCTGTCTTGCATTATATGAAGAAATCCCGTTTCCAACGAAGGCCTCAATGAAGTCCAAAAAAGCACTTGCAGGCTTTACAAACAGAGTGTTTCCAAACTTCTCTATGAAAAGAAAGGTTAAACTTTGTGAGTTGAACGCACACATCACAAAGTAGTTGTTGAGAATGATTCTGTGTAGTTTTTATACGAAGATATTTCCTTTTCTGCCATAGGCCTAGAATCGCTTGAAATCTGCACTTGCAAATTCCAAAAACAGAGTGTTTCAACTCTGCTCTCTCTAAAGGAAGGTTCCACTCTGTGAGTTGAATACACACAACACAAAGGATTTACTGAGAATTCTTCTGTCTAGCAGTTAATGAGAAATCCCGCTTCCAACGAAGGCCTCAAAGGGGTCTAACTAATCAATTGCAGACTTTACAGACAGAGTCTTTCCAAACTGCTCTATGAAGAGAAAGGTGAAACTCTGTGAACTGAACGCACAGATGACAAAGCAGTTTCTGAGAATGATTCTGTGTAGTTTTTACACGAAGATATTTCCATTTCAAAGAATTAGCCTCAAATCGCTTGAAATCTCCACTTGCAAATTCCACAGAAAGAATTTTTCAAAACTGCTCTGTCTAAAGGAAGGTTCAACTCTGTGACTTGAATACACACAACACAAAGAAGTGACTGAGAATTCTTCTGTCTAGCATTATAAGAGGAAATCCCGTTTCCAAGGAAGGGCTCATAGAGGGACAATTATCCAGCTGCAGACTTACAAAGAGTGTATTTCCAAACTGCTCGATTAAAGAAAGGTTAAACTCTGTGAGTTGAACACACACATCACAAAGTGTTTTCTGAGAATGATTTTGTCTAGTTTTAATACGAAGATATATCCTTTTCTATCACTGTCTTCGAAGCGTTTGAAATCTGCACTAGCAAATTCCACAAACAGAGTGTTTCAACTCTGCTCTCTCTCAAGAAAGGTTCAACTCTGTGAGTGGAATACACACAACACAAAGAAGTTACTGAGAATTCTTCTGTCTAGCGTTATATGAAGAAATCCCGTTTCCAACGAAGGCCTCAAAGAGGTCCAAATATCCACTTGCAGACTTTACAAATAGAGTGTTTCCAAACTGCTCTATGAAAAGAAAGGTTAAACTCTGTGAGTTGAAGGCACACATCACAAACTAGTTTCTGCGAATGACTCTGTGTACTTTTAATACGAAGATGTTTCCATGTCTAAGATTGGCGTGAATTCGCTTGAAATCTCCACTTGCAAATTCCACAAAAAGAGTGTTTCAAAACTGCTCTGAATAAAGGAAGGTTCCACTCTGTGAGTTGAATACACACAACACAAAGGATTTACTGAGAATTCTTCTGTCTAGCAGTAAATGAAAAAATCCCGCTTCCAACGAAGTCCTCAAAGGGGTCCAAGTAATCACTTGCAGACTTTACAGACAGAGTCTTTCCAAACTGCTCTATGAAAAGAAAGGTGGAACTCTGTGAGCTGAACGCACACATAACAAAGCAGTTTCTGACAATGATTCTGTGTAGTTTTTACACGAAGATATTTCCATTTCAAAGATTAGCCTCAAATCGCTTGAAATCTCCACTTGCAAATTCCACAGAAAGAGTTTTTCAAAACTGCTCTGTGTAAAGGAAGGTTCAACTCTGTGACTTGAATACACACAACACAAAGAAGTGACTGAGAATTCTTCTGTCTAGCATTATAAGAGGAAATCCCGTTTCCAACGAAGGGCTCCTAGAGGGACAATTATCCAGCTGCAGACTTACAAAGAGTGTATTTCCAAACTGCTCGATTAAAGAAAGGTTAAACTCTGTGAGTTGAACACACACATCACAAAGTGTTTTCTGAGAATGATTTTGTCTAGTTTTAATACGAAGATATATCCTTTTCTATCACTGTCTTCGAAGCGTTTGAAATCTGCACTAGCAAATTCCACAAACAGAGTGTTTCAACTCTGCTCTCTCTCAAGAAAGGTTCAAATCTGTGAGTGGAATACACACAACACAAAGAAGTTACTGAGAATTCTTCTGTCTAGCGTTATATGAAGAAATCCCGTTTCCAACGAAGGCCTCAAAGAGGTCCAAATATCCACTTGCAGACTTTACAAATAGAGTGTTTCCAAACTGCTCTATGAAAAGAAAGGTTAAACTCCGTGAGTTGAAGGCACACATCACAAACTAGTTTCTGCGAATGACTCTGTGTACTTTTAATACGAAGATGTTTCCATGTCTAAGATTGGCGTGAATTCGCTTGAAATCTCCACTTGCAAATTCCACAAAAAGAGTGTTTCAAAACTGCTCTGAATAAAGGAAGGTTCCACTCTGTGAGTTGAATACACACAACACAAAGGATTTACTGAGAATTCTTCTGTCTGGCAATAAATGAAAAAATCCCGCTTCCAACGAAGTCCTCAAAGGGGTCCAAGTAATCACTTGCAGACTTTACAGACAGAGTCTTTCCAAACTGCTCTATGAAAAGAAAGGTGGAACTCTGTGAGCTGAACGCACACATAACAAAGCAGTTTCTGAGAATGATTCTGTGTAGTTTTTACACGAAGCTATTTCCATTTCAAAGATTAGCCTCAAATCGCTTGAAATCTCCACTTGCAAATTCCACAGAAAGAGTTTTTCAAAACTGCTCTGTGTAAAGGAAGGTTCAACTCTGTGACTTGAATACACACAACACAAAGAAGTGACTGAGAATTCTTCTGTCTAGCATTATATGAAGAAATCCCGTTTCCAACGAAGGCCTCAAAGAAGTCCAAATAAGCACCTGCAGACTTTACAAACAGAGTGTTTCCAAACTGCTCTATGAAAAAAAAGGTTAAACTCTGTGAGCTGAACGCACACATCACAAAGTAGTTGTTGAGAATGATTCTGTGTAGTTTTTATACGAAGATATTTCCTTTTCTGCCATAGGCCTAGAAGCGCTTGCAATCTGCACTTGCAAATTCCAAAAACAGAGTGTTTCAAATCTGCTCTCTCCAAAGGAAGGTTCAAATCTGTGAGTTGAATACAAACAACACAAAGAAGTTACTGAGAGTTCTTCTGTCTAGCATTATATGAGGAAATCCCGTTTCCAACGAAGGGCTCATAGAGGGACAATTATCCAGCTGCAGACTTACAAAGAGTGTATTTCCAAACTGCTCGATTAAAGAAAGGTTAAACTCTGTGAGTTGAACACACACATCACAAAGTGTTTTCTGAGAATGATTTTGTCTAGTTTTAATACGAAGATATATCCTTTTCTATCACTGTCTTCGAAGCGTTTGAAATCTGCACTAGCAAATTCCACAAAAAGAGTGTTTCAACTCTGCTCTCTCTCAAGAAAGGTTCAACTCTGTGAGTGGAATACACACAACACAAAGAAGTTACTGAGAATTCTTCTGTCTAGCGTTATATGAAGAAATCCCGTTTCCAACGAAGGCCTCAAAGAGGTCCAAATATCCACTTGCAGACTTTACAAATAGAGTGTTTCCAAACTGCTCTATGAAAAGAAAGGTTAAACTCTGTGAGTTGAAGGCACACATCACAAACTAGTTTCTGCGAATGACTCTGTGTACTTTTAATACGAAGATATTTCCATGTCTAAGATTGGCGTGAATTCGCTTGAAATCTCCACTTGCAAATTCCACAAAGAGTGTTTCAAAACTGCTCTGAATAAAGGAAGGTTCCACTCTGTGAGTTGAATACACACAACACAAAGGATTTACTGAGAATTCTTCTGTCTAGCAGTAAATGAAAAAATCCCGCTTCCAACGAAGTCCTCAAAGGGGTCCAAGTAATCACTTGCAGACTTTACAGACAGAGTCTTTCCAAACTGCTCTATGAAAAGAAAGGTGGAACTCTGTGAGCTGAACGCACACATAACAAAGCAGTTTCTGAGAATGATTCTGTGTAGTTTTTACACGAAGATATTTCCATTTCAAAGATTAGCCTCAAATCGCTTGAAATCTCCACTTGCAAATTCCACAGAAAGAGTTTTTCAAAACTGCTCTGTGTAAAGGAAGGTTCAACTCTGTGACTTGAATACACACAACACAAAGAAGTGACTGAGAATTCTTCTGTCTAGCATTATATGAAGAAATCCCGTTTCCAACGAAGGCCTCAAAGAAGTCCAAATAAGCACCTGCAGACTTTACAAACAGAGTGTTTCCAAACTGCTCTATGAAAAGAAAGGTTAAACTCTGTGAGTTGAACGCACACATCACAAAGTAGTTGTTGAGAATGATTCTGTGTAGTTTTTATATGAAGATATTTCCTTTTCTGCCATAGGCCTAGAAGCGCTTGTAATCTGCACTTGCAAATTCCAAAACCAGAGTGTTTCAAATCTGCTCTCTCTAAAGGAAGGTTCAAATCTGTGAGTTGAATACAAACAACACAAAGAAGTTACTGAGGATTCTTCTGTCTAGCATTATATGAGGAAATCCCGTTTCCAACGAAGGGCTCATAGAGGGACAATTATCCAGCTGCAGACTTACAAAGAGTGTATTTCCAAACTGCTCGATTAAAGGAAGGTTAAACTCTGTGAGTTGAACACACACATCACAAAGTGTTTTCTGAGAATGATTTTGTCTAGTTTTAATACGAAGATATATCCTTTTCTATCACTGTCTTCGAAGCGTTTGAAATCTGCACTGGCAAATTCCACAAACAGAGTGTTTCAACTCTGCTCTCTCTCAAGAAAGGTTCAACTCTGTGAGTGGAATACACACAACACAAAGAAGTTACTGAGAATTCTTCTGTCTAGCGTTATATGAAGAAATCCCGTTTCCAACGAAGGCCTCAAAGAGGTCCAAATATCCACTTGCAGACTTTACAAATAGAGTGTTTCCAAACTGCTCTATGAAAAGAAAGGTTAAACTCTGTGAGTTGAAGGCACACATCACAAACTAGTTTCTGCGAATGACTCTGTGTACTTTTAATACGAAGATGTTTCCATGTCTAAGATTGGCGTGAATTCGCTTGAAATCTCCACTTGCAAATTCCACAAAAAGAGTGTTTCAAAACTGCTCTGAATAAAGGAAGGTTCCACTCTGTGAGTTGAATACACACAACACAAAGGATTTACTGAGAATTCTTCTGTCTAGCAGTAAATGAGAAATCCCGCTTCCAACGAAGGCCTCAAAGGGGTCTAACTAATCACTTGCAGACTTTACAGACAGAGTCTTTCCAAACTGCTCTATGAAGAGAAAGGTGAAACTGTGTGAACTGAACGCACAGATGACAAAGCAGTTTCTGAGAATGATTCTGTGTAGTTTTTACACGAAGATATTTCCATTTCAAAGATTAGCCTCAAATCGCTTGAAATCTCCACTTGCAAACTCCACAGAAAGAATTTTTCAAAACTGCTCTGTCTAAAGGAAGGTTCAACTCTGTGACTTGAATACACACAACACAAAGAAGTGACTGAGAATTCTTCTGTCTAGCATTATATGAAGAAATCCCGTTTCCAACGAAGGCCTCAATGAAGTCCAAAAAAGCACTTGCAGGCTTTACAAACAGAGTGTTTCCAAACTGCTCTATGAAAAGAAAGGTTAAACTCTGTGAGATGAACGCACACATCACAAAGTAGTTGTTGAGAATGATTCTGTGTAGTTTTTATACGAAGATATTTCCTTTTCTGCCATAGGCCTAGAAGCGCTTGAAATCTGCACTTGCAAATTCCAAAAACAGAGTGTTTCAAATCTGCTCTCTCTAAAGGAAGGTTCAAATCTGTGTGTTGAATACAAACAACACAAAGAAGTTACTGAGAATTCTTCTGTCTAGCGTTATATGAAGAAATCCCGGTTCCAACGAAGGCCTCAAAGAGGTCCAAATATCCACTTGCAGACTTAACAAATAGAGTGTTTCCAAACTGCTCTATGAAAAGAAAGGTTAAACTCCGTGAGTTGAAGGCACACATCACAAACTAGTTTCTGCGAATGACTCTGTGTACTTTTAATACGAAGATGTTTCCATGTCTAAGATTGGCGTGAATTCGCTTGAAATCTCCACTTGCAAATTCCACAAAAAGAGTGTTTCAAAACTGCTCTGAATAAAGGAAGGTTCCACTCTGTGAGTTGAATACACACAACACAAAGGATTTACTGAGAATTCTTCTGTCTAGCAGTAAATGAAAAAATCCCGCTTCCAACGAAGTCCTCAAAGGGGTCCAAGTAATCACTTGCAGACTTTACAGACAGAGTCTTTCCAAACTGCTCTATGAAAAGAAAGGTGGAACTCTGTGAGCTGAACGCACACATAACAAAGCAGTTTCTGAGAATGATTCTGTGTAGTTTTTACACGAAGCTATTTCCATTTCAAAGATTAGCCTCAAATCGCTTGAAATCTCCACTTGCAAATTCCACAGAAAGAGTTTTTCAAAACTGCTCTGTGTAAAGGAAGGTTCAACTCTGTGACTTGAATACACACAACACAAAGAAGTTACTGAGAATTCTTCTGTCTAGCGTTATATGAAGAAATCCCGTTTCCAACGAAGGCCTCAAAGAGGTCCAAATATCCACTTGCAGACTTTACAAATAGAGTGTTTCCAAACTGCTCTATGAAAAGAAAGGTTAAACTCCGTGAGTTGAAGGCACACATCACAAACTAGTTTCTGCAAATGACTCTGTGTACTTTTATACGAAGATGTTTCCATGTCTAAGATTGGCGTGAATTCGCTTGAAATCTCCACTTGCAAATTCCACAAAAAGAGTGTTTCAAAACTGCTCTGAATAAAGGAAGGTTCCACTCTGTGAGTTGAATACACACAACACAAAGGATTTACTGAGAATTCTTCTGTCTAGCAGTAAATGAAAAAATCCCGCTTCCAACGAAGTCCTCAAAGGGGTCCAAGTAATCACTTGCAGACTTTACAGACAGAGTCTTTCCAAACTGCTCTATGAAAAGAAAGGTGGAACTCTGTGAGCTGAACGCACACATAACAAAGCAGTTTCTGAGAATGATTCTGTGTAGTTTTTACACGAAGCTATTTCCATTTCAAAGATTAGCCTCAAATCGCTTGAAATCTCCACTTGCAAATTCCACAGAAAGAGTTTTTCAAAACTGCTCTGTGTAAAGGAAGGTTCAACTCTGTGACTTGAATACACACAACACAAAGAAGTGACTGAGAATTCTTCTGTCTAGCGTTATATGAAGAAATCCCGTTTCCAACGAAGGCCTCAAAGAGGTCCAAATATCCACTTGCAGACTTTACAAATAGAGTGTTTCCAAACTGCTCTATGAAAAGAAAGGTTAAACTCCGTGAGTTGAAGGCACACATCACAAACTAGTTTCTGCGAATGACTCTGTGTACTTTTAATACGAAGATGTTTCCATGTCTAAGATTGGCGTAAATTCGCTTGAAATCTCCACCTGCAAATTCCACAAAAAGAATGTTTCAAAACTGCTCTGAATAGAGAAAGGTTCCACTCTGTGAGTTGAATACACACAACACAAAGGATTTACTGAGAATTCTTCTGTCTAGCAGTAAATGAAAAAATCCCGCTTCCAACGAAGTCCTCAAAGGGGTCCAAGTAATCACTTGCAGACTTTACAGACAGAGTCTTTCCAAACTGCTCTATGAAAAGAAAGGTGGAACTCTGTGAGCTGAACGCACACATAACAAAGCAGTTTCTGAGAATGATTCTGTGTAGTTTTTACACGAAGATATTTCCATTTCAAAGATTAGCCTCAAATCGCTTGACATCTCCACTTGCAAATTCCACAGAAAGAGTTTTTCAAAACTGCTCTGTGTAATGGAAGGTTCAACTCTGTGACTTGAATACACACAACACAAAGAAGTGACTGAGAATTCTTCTGTCTAGCATTATATGAAGAAATCCCGTTTCCAACGAAGGCCTCAAAGAAGTCCAAATAAGCACCTGCAGACTTTACAAACAGAGTGTTTCCAAACTGCTCTATGAAAAGAAAGGTTAAACTCTGTGAGTTGAACGCACACATCACAAACTAGTTTCTGCGAATGACTCTGTGTAGTTTTTATACGAAGATATTTCCTTTTCTACCATAGGCCTAGAATCGCTTGAAATCTGCAGTTGCAAATTCCAAAAACAGAGTGTTTCAACTCTGCTCTCTCTAAAGAAAGGTTCAACTCTGTGAGTTGAATACACACAACACAAAGAAGTTACTGAGAATTCTTCTGTCTAGCGTTGTATGAAGAAATCCCGTTTCCAACGAAGGCCTCAAAGAGGTCCAAATATCCACTTGCAGACTTTACAAATAGAGTGTTTCCAAACTGCTCTATGAAAAGAAAGGTTAAACTCTGTGAGTTGAAGGCACACATCACAAACTAGTTTCTACGAATGACTCTGTGTACTTTTAATATGAAGATATTTCCATGTCTAAGATTGGCGTCAAATCGCTTGAAATCTCCACTTGCAAATTCCACGAAAAGTGTTTTTCAAAACTGCTCTGAATAAAGGAAGGTTCCACTCTGTGAGTTGAATACACACAACACAAAGGATTTACTGAGAATTCTTCTGTCTAGCAGTAAATGAGAAATCCCGCTTCCAACGAAGGCCTCAAAGGGGTCTAACTAATCACTTGCAGACTTTACAGACAGAGTCTTTCCAAACTGCTCTATGAAGAGAAAGGTGAAACTCTGTGAACTGAACGCACAGATGACAAAGCAGTTTCTGAGAATGATTCTGTGTAGTTTTTACACGAAGATATTTCCATTTCAAAGATTGGCCTCAAATCGCTTGAAATCTCCACTTGCAAATTCCACAGAAAGAATTTTTCAAAACTGCTCTGTCTAAAGGAAGGTTCAACTCTGTGACTTGAATACACACAACACAAAGAAGTGACTGAGAATTCTTCTGTCTAGCATTACATGAAGAAATCCCGTTTCCAACCGAAGGCCTCAAAGAAGTCCAAATAAGCACCTGCAGACTTTACAAACAGAGTGTTTCCAAACTGCTCTATGAAAAGAAAGGTTAAACTCTGTGAGTTGAACGCACACATCACAAAGTAGTTGTTGAGAATGATTCTGTGTAGTTTTTATACGAAGATATTTCCTTTTCTGCCATAGGCCTAGAAGCGCTTGAAATCTGCACTTGCAAATTCCAAAAACAGAGTGTTTCAAATCTGCTCTCTCTAAAGGAAGGTTCAAATCTGTGAGTTGAATACAAACAACACAAAGAAGTTACTGAGAATTCTTCTGTCTAGCATTATAAGAGGAAATCCCGTTTCCAACGAAGGGCTCATAGAGGGACAATTATCCAGCTGCAGACTTACAAAGAGTGTATTTCCAAACTGCTCGATTAAAGAAAGGTTAAACTCTGTGAGTTGAACACACACATCACAAAGTATTTTCTGAGAATGATTCTGTGTACTTTTAATATGAAGATTTTTCCATGTCTAAGATTGGCGTCAAATCGCTTGAAATCTCCACTTGCAAATTCCACAAAAAGTGTTTTTCAAAACTGCTCTGAATAAAGGAAGGTTCCACTCTGTGAGTTGAATACACACAACACAAAGGATTTACTGATAATTCTTCTGTCTAGCAGTAAATGAGAAATCCCGCTTCCAACGAAGGCCTCAAAGGGGTCTAACTAATCACTTGCAGACTTTACAGACAGAGTCTTTCCAAACTGCTCTATGAAGAGAAAGGTGAAACTCTCTGAACTGAACGGACAGATAACAAAGCAGTTTCTGAGAATGATTCTGTGTAGTTTTGACACGAAGATATTTCCATTTCAAAGATTAGCCTCAAGTCGCTTGAAATCTCCACTTGCAAATTCCACAGAAAGAATTTTTCAAAACTGCTCTGTCTAAAAGAAGGTTCAACTCTGTGACTTGAATACACACAACACAAAGAAGTGACTGAGAATTCTTCTGTCTAGCATTATATGACGAAATCCCGTTTCCAACGAAGGCCTCAATGAAGTCCAAAAAAGCACTTGCAGGCTTTACAAACAGAGTGTTTCCAAACTGCTCTATGAAAAGAAAGGTTAAACTCTGTGAGTTGAACGCACACATCACAAAGTAGTTGTTGAGAATGATTCTGTGTAGTTTTTATACGAAGATAATTCCTTTTCTGCCATAGGCCTAGATTCGCTTGAAATCTGCAGTTGCAAATTCCAAAAACAGAGTGTTTCAACTCTGCTCTCTCTAAAGAAAGGTTCAACTCTGTGAGTTGAATACACACAACACAAAGAAGTTACTGAGAATTCTTCTGTCTAGCGTTGTATGAAGAAATCCCGTTTCCAACGAAGGCCTCAAAGAGGTCCAAATATCCACTTGCAGACTTTACAAATAGAGTGTTTCCAAACTGTTCTATGAAAAGAAAGGTTAAACTCTGTGAGTTGAAGGCACACATCACAAACTAGTTTCTACGAATGACTCTGTGTACTTTTAATATGAAGATATTTCCATGTCTAAGATTGGCGTCAAATCGCTTGAAATCTCCACTTGCAAATTCCACAAAAAGTGTTTTTCAAAACTGCTCTGAATAAAGGAAGGTTCCACTCTGTGAGTTGAATACACACAACACAAAGGATTTACTGAGAATTCTTCTGTCTAGCAGTAAATGAGAAATCCCGCTTCCAACGAAGGCCTCAAAGGGGTCTAACTAATCACTTGCAGACTTTACAGACAGAGTCTTTCCAAACTGCTCTATGAAGAGAAAGGTGAAACTCTGTGAACTGAACGCACAGATGACAAAGCAGTTTCTGAGAATGATTCTGTGTAGTTTTTACACGAAGATATTTCCATTTCAAAGATTAGGCTCAAATCAGCTTGAAATCTCCACTTGCAAACTCCACAGAAAGAATTTTTCAAAACTGCTCTGTCTAAAGGAAGGTTCAACTCTGTGACTTGAATACACACAACACAAAGAAGTGACTGAGAATTCTTCTGTCTAGCATTATATGAAGAAATCCCGTTTCCAACGAAGGCCTCAATGAAGTCCAAAAAAGCACTTGCAGGCTTTCCAAACAGAGTGTTTCCAAACTGCTCTATGAAAAGAAAGGTTAAACTCTGTGAGTTGAATGCACACATCACAAAGTAGTTGTTGAGAATGATTCTGTGTAGTTTTTATACGAAGATATTTCCTTTTCTGCCATAGGCCTAGAAGCGCTTGAAATCTGCACTTGCAAATTCCAAAAACAGAGTGTTTCAAATCTGCTCTCTCTAAAGGAAGGTTCAAATCTGTGTGTTGAATACAAACAACACAAAGAAGTTACTGAGAATTCTTCTGTCTAGCGTTATAAGAAGAAATCCCGTTTCCAACGAAGGCCTCAAAGAGGTCCAAATATCCACTTGCAGACTTTACAAATAGAGTGTTTCCAAACTGCTCTATGAAAAGAAAGGTTAAACTCTGTGAGTTGAAGGCACACATCACAAACTAGTTTCTGCGAATGACTCTGTGTACTTTTAATACGAAGATGTTTCCATGTCTAAGATTGGCATGAATTCGCTTGAAATCTCCACTTGCAAATTCCACAAAAAGAGTGTTACAAAACTGCTCTGAATAAAGGAAGGTTCCACTCTGTGAGTTGAATACACACAACACAAAGGATTTACTGAGAATTCTTCTGTCTAGCAGTAAATGAAAAAATCCCGCTTCCAACGAAGTCCTCAAAGGGGTCCAAGTAATCACTTGCAGACTTTACAGACAGAGTCTTTCCAAACTGCTCTATGAAAAGAAAGGTGGAACTCTGTGAGCTGAACGCACACATAACAAAGCAGTTTCTGAGAATGATTCTGTGTAGTTTTTACACGAAGATATTTCCATTTCAAAGATTAGCCTCAAATCGCTTGAAATCTCCACTTGCAAATTCCACAGAAAGAGTTTTTCAAAACTGCTCTGTGTAAAGGAAGGTTCAGCTCTGTGACTTGAATACACACAACACAAAGAAGTGACTGAGAATTCTTCTGTCTAGCGTTGTATGAAGAAATCCCGTTTCCAACGAAGGCCTCAATGAAGTCCAACAAAGCACTTGCAGGCTTTAAAAACAGAGTGTTTCCAAACTGCTCTATGAAAAGAAAGGTTAAACTCTGTGAGTTGAACGCACACATCACAAAGTAGTTGTTGAGAATGATTCTGTGTAGTTTTCATACGAAGATATTTCCTTTCCTGCCATAGGCCTAGAATCGCTTGAAATCTGCACTTGCAAATTCCAAAAACAGAGTGTTTCAACTCTGCTCTCTCTAAAGAAAGGTTCAACTCTGTGAGTTGAATACACACAACACAAAGAAGTTACTGAGAATTCTTCTGTCTAGTGTTGTATGAAGAAATCCCATTTCCAACGAAGGCCTCAAAGAGGTCCAAATATCCACTTGCAGACTTTACAAATAGAGTGTTTCCCAACTGCTCTATGAAAAGAAAGGTTAAACTCTGTGAGTTGAAGGCACACATCACAAACTAGTTTCTACGAATGACTCTGTGTACTTTTAATATGAAGATATTTCCATGTCTAAGATTGGCGTCAAATCGCTTGAAATCTCCACTTGCAAATTCCACAAAAAGTGTTTTTCAAAACTGCTCTGAATAAAGGAAGGTTCCACTCTGTGAGTTGAATACACACAACACAAAGGATTTACTGAGAATTCTTCTGTCTAGCAGTAAATGAGAAATCCCGCTTCCAACGAAGGCCTCAAAGGGGTCTAACTAATCACTTGCAGACTTTACAGACAGAGTCTTTCCAAACTGCTCTATGAAGAGAAAGGTGAAACTCTGTGAACTGAACGCACAGATGACAAAGCAGTTTCAGAGAATGATTCTGTGTAGTTTTTACACGAAGATATTTCCATTTCAAAGATTAGCCTCAAATCGCTTGAAATCTCCACTTGCAAACTCCACAGAAAGAATTTTTCAAAACTGCTCTGTCTAAAGGAAGGTTCAACTCTGTGACTTGAATACACACAACACAAAGAAGTGACTGAGAATTCTTCTGTCTAGCATTATATGAAGAAATCCCGTTTCCAACGAAGGCCTCAATGAAGTCCAAAAAAGCACTTGCAGGCTTTACAAACAGAGTGTTTCCAAACTGCTGTATGAAAAGAAAGGTTAAACTCTGTGAGTTGAACGCACACATCACAAAGTAGTTGTTGAGAATGATTCTGTGTAGTTTTTATACGAAGATATTTCCTTTTCTGCCATAGGCCTAGAATCGCTTGAAATCTGCACTTGCAAATTCCAAAAACAGAGTGTTTCAACTCTGCTCTCTCTAAAGAAAGGTTCAACTCTGTGAGTTGAATACACACAACACAAAGAAGTTACTGAGAATTCTTCTGTCTAGCGTTGTATGAAGAAATCCCGTTTCCAACGAAGACCTCAAAGAGGTCCAAATATGCACTTGCAGACTTTACAAATAGAGTGTTTCCAAACTGCTCTATGAAAAGAAAGGTTAAACTCTGTGAGTTGAAGGCACACATCACAAACTAGTTTCTACGAATGACTCTGTGTACTTTTAATATGAAGATATTTCCATGTCTAAGATTGGCGTCAAATCGCTTGAAATCTCCACTTGCAAATTCCACAAAAAGTGTTTTTCAAAACTGCTCTGAATAAAGGAAGGTTCCACTCTGTGAGTTGAATACACACAACACAAAGGATTTACTGAGAATTCTTCTGTCTAGCAGTAAATGAGAAATCCCGCTTCCAACGAAGGCCTCAAAGGGGTCTAACTAATCACTTGCAGACTTTACAGACAGAGTCTTTCCAAACTGCTCTATGAAGAGAAAGGTGAAACTGTGTGAACTGAACGCACAGATGACAAAGCAGTTTCTGAGAATGATTCTGTGTAGTTTTTACACGAAGATATTTCCATTTCAAAGATTAGCCTCAAATCGCTTGAAATCTCCACTTGCAAACTCCACAGAAAGAATTTTTCAAAACTGCTCTGTCTAAAGGAAGGTTCAACTCTGTGACTTGAATACACACAACACAAAGAAGTGACTGAGAATTCTTCTGTCTAGCATTATATGAAGAAATCCCGTTTCCAACGAAGGCCTCAATGAAGTCCAAAAAAGCACTTGCAGGCTTTACAAACAGAGTGTTTCCAAACTGCTCTATGAAAAGAAAGGTTAAACTCTGTGAGTTGAACGCACACATCACAAAGTAGTTGTTGAGAATGATTCTGTGTAGTTTTTATACGAAGATATTTCCTTTTCTGCCATAGGCCTAGAAGCGCTTGAAATCTGCACTTGCAAATTCCAAAAACAGAGTGTTTCAAATCTGCTCTCTCTAAAGGAAGGTTCAAATCTGTGTGTTGAATACAAACAACACAAAGAAGTTACTGAGAATTCTTCTGTCTAGCATTATATGAGGAAATCCCGTTTCCAACGAAGGCCTCAAAGAGGTCCAAATATCCACTTGCAGACTTTACAAATAGAGTGTTTCCAAACTGCTCTATGAAAAGAAAGGTTAAACTCTGTGAGTTGAAGGCACACATCACAAACTAGTTTCTACGAATGACTCTGTGTACTTTTAATATGAAGATATTTCCATGTCTAAGATTGGCGTCAAATCGCTTGAAATCTCCACTTGCAAATTCCACAAAAAGTGTTTTTCAAAACTGCTCTGAATAAAGGAAGGTTCCACTCTGTGAGTTGAATACACACAACACAAAGGATTTACTGAGAATTCTTCTGTCTAGCAGTAAATGAGAAATCCCGCTTCCAACGAAGGCCTCAAAGGGGTCTAACTAATCACTTGCAGACTTTACAGACAGAGTCTTTCCAAACTGCTCTATGAAGAGAAAGGTGAAACTCTGTGAACTGAACGCACAGATGACAAAGCAGTTTCTGAGAATGATTCTGTGTAGTTTTGACACGAAGATATTTCCATTTCAAAGATTAGCCTCAAATCGCTTGAAATCTCCACTTGCAAATTCCACAGAAAGAATTTTTCAAAACTGTTCTGTCTAAAAGAAGGTTCAACTCTGTGACTTGAATACACACAACACAAAGAAGTTACTGAGAATTCTTCTGTCTAGCATTATATGAAGAAATCCCGTTTCCAACGAAGGCCTCAATGAAGTCCAAAAAAGCACTTGCAGGCTTTACAAACAGAGTGTTTCCAAACTGCTCTATGAAAAGAAAGGTTAAACTCTGTGAGTTGAACGCACACATCACAAAGTAGTTGTTGAGAATGATTTTGTCTAGTTTTAATACGAAGATATATCCTTTTCTATCACTGTCTTCGAAGCGTTTGAAATCTGCACTGGCAAATTCCACAAAAAGAGTGTTTCAACTCTGCTCTCTCTCAAGAAAGGTTCAACTCTGTGAGTGGAATACACACAACACAAAGAAGTTACTGAGAATTCTTCTGTCTAGCGTTACATGAAGAAATCCCGTTTCCAACGAAGGCCTCAAAGACGTCCAAATATCCACTTGCAGACTTTACAAATAGAGTGTTTCCAAAATGCTCTATGAAAAGAAAGGTTAAACTCTGTGAGTTGAAGGCACACAACACAAACTAGTTTCTGCGAATGACTTCTGTGTACTTTTAATACGAAGATGTTTCCATGTCTAAGATTGGCGTGAATTCGCTTGAAATCTCCACTTGCAAATTCCACAAAAAGAGTGTTTCAAAAGTGCTCTGAATAAAGGAAGGTTCCACTCTGTGAGTTGAATACACACAACACAAAGGATTTACTGAGAATTCTTCTGTCTAGCAGTAAATGAAAAAATCCCGCTTCCAACGAAGTCCTCAAAGGGGTCCAAGTAATCACTTGCAGACTTTTCAGACAGAGTCTTTCCAAACTGCTCTATGAAAAGAAAGGTGGAACTCTGTGAGCTGAACGCACACATAACAAAGCAGTTTCTGAGAATGATTCTGTGTAGTTTTTAAACGAAGATATTTCCATTTCAAAGATTAGCCTCAAATCGCTTGAAATCTCCACTTGCAAATTCCACAGAAAGAGTTTTTCAAAACTGCTCTGTGTAAAGGAAGGTTCAACTCTGTGACTTGAATACACACAACACAAAGAAGTGACTGAGAATTCTTCTGTCTAGCATTATATGAAGAAATCCCGTTTCCAACGAAGACCTCAAAGAAGTCCAAATAAGCACCTGCAGACTTTACAAACAGAGTGTTTCCAAACTGCTCTATGAAAAGAAAGGTTAAACTCTGTGAGTTGAACGCACACATCACACAGTAGTTGTTGAGAATGATTCTGTGTAGTTTTTATACGAAGATATTTCCTTTTCTGCCATAGGCCTAGAAGCGCTTGTAATCTGCACTTGCAAATTCCAAAACCAGAGTGTTTCAAATCTGCTCTCTCTAAAGGAAGGTTCAAATCTGTGAGTTGAATACAAACAACACAAAGAAGTTACTGAGAATTCTTCTGTCTAGCATTATATGAGGAAATCCCGTTTCCAACGAAGGGCTCATAGAGGGACAATTATCCAGCTGCAGACTTACAAAGAGTGTATTTCCAAACTGCTCGATTAAAGAAAGGTTAAACTCTGTGAGTTGAACACACACATCACAAAGTGTTTTCTGAGAATGATTTTGTCTAGTTTTAATACGAAGATATATCCTTTTCTATCACTGTCTTCGAAGCGTTTGAAATCGGCACTAGCAAATTCCACAAACAGAGTGTTTCAACTCTGCTCTCTCTCAAGAAAGGTTCAACTCTGTGAGTGGAATACACACAACACAAAGAAGTTACTGAGAATTCTTCTGTCTAGCGTTATATGAAGAAATCCCGTTTCCAACGAAGGCCGCAAAGACGTCCAAATATCCACTTGCAGACTTTACAAATAGAGTGTTTCCAAACTGCTCTATGAAAAGAAAGGTTAAACTCTGTGAGTTGAAGGCACACATCACAAACTAGTTTCTGCGAATGACTCTGTGTACTTTTAATACGAAGATGTTTCCATGTCTAAGATTGGCGTGAATTCGCTTGAAATCTCCACTTGCAAATTCCACAAAAAGAGTGTTTCAAAACTGCTCTGAATAAAGGAAGGTTCCACTCTGTGAGTTGAATACACACAACACAAAGGATTTACTGAGAATTCTTCTGTCTAGCAGTAAATGAAAAAATCCCGCTTCCAACGAAGTCCTCAAAGGGGTCCAAGTAATCACTTGCAGACTTTACAGACAGAGTCTTTCCAAACTGCTCTATGAAAAGAAAGGTGGAACTCTGTGAGCTGAACGCACACATAACAAAGCAGTTTCTGAGAATTATTCTGTGTAGTTTTTACACGAAGATATTTCAATTTCAAAGATTAGCCTCAAATCGCTTGAAATCTCCACTTGCAAATTCCACAGAAAGAGTTTTTAAAAACTGCTCTGTCTAAAGGAAGGTTCATCTCTGTGACTTGAATACACACAACACAAAGAAGTGACTGAGAATTCTTCTGTCTAGCATTATATGAAGAAATCCCGTTTCCAACGAAGGCCTCAATGAAGTCCAAAAAAGCACTTGCAGGCTTTACCAACAGAGTGTTTCCAAACTGCTCTATGAAAAGAAAGGTTAAACTCTGTGAGTTGAACGCACACATCACAAAGTAGTTGTTGAGAATGATTCTGTGTAGTTTTTATACGAAGATATTTCCTTTTCTGCCATAGGCCTAGAATCGCTTGAAATCTGCACTTGCAAATTCCAAAAACAGAGTGTTTCAACTCTGCTCTCTCTAAAGAAAGGTTCAACTCTGTGAGTTGAATACACACAACACAAAGAAGTTACTGAGAATTCTTCTGTCTAGCGTTATATGAAGAAATCCCGTTTCCAACGAAGGCCTCAAAGAAGTCCAAATATCCACTTGCAGACTTTACAAATAGAGTGTTTCCCAACTGCTCTATGAAAAGAAAGGTTAAACTCTGTGAGTTGAAGGCACACATCACAAACTAGTTTCTACGAATGACTCTGTGTACTTTTAATATGAAGATATTTCCATGTCTAAGATTGGCGTCAAATCGCTTGAAATCTCCACTTGCAAATTCCACAAAAAGAGTGTTTCAAAACTGCTCTGAATAAAGGAAGGTTCCACTCTGTGAGTTGAATACACACAACACAAAGGATTTACTGAGAATTCTTCTGTCTAGCAGTAAATGAGAAATCCCGCTTCCAACGAAGGCCTCAAAGGGGTCTAACTAATCACTTGCAGACTTTACAGACAGAGTCTTTCCAAACTGCTCTATGAAGAGAAAGATGAAACTCTGTGAACTGAACGCACAGATGACAAAGCAGTTTCTGAGAATGATTCTGTGTAGTTTTTACACGAAGATATTTCCATTTCAAAGATTAGCCTCAAATCGCTTGAAATCTCCACTTGCAAATTACACAGAAAGAATTTTTCAAAACTGCTCTGTCTAAAGGAAGGTTCAACTCTGTGACTTGAATACACACAACACAAAGAAGTGACTGAGAATTCTTCTGTCTAGCATTATATGAGGAAATCCCGTTTCCAACGAAGGGCTCATAGAGGGACAATTATCCACCTGCAGACTTACAAAGAGTGCATTTCCAAACTGCTCGATTAAAGAAAGGTTAAACTCTGTGAGTTGAACACACATATCACAAAGTGTTTTCTGAGAATGATTTTGTCTAGTTTTAATACGAAGATATATCCTTTTCTATCACTGTCTTCGAAGCGTTTGAAATCTGCACTAGCAAATTCCACAGAAAGAGTGTTTCAACTCTGCTCTCTCTCAAGAAAGGTTCAACTCTGTGAGTGGAATACACACAACACAAAGAAGTTACAGAGAATTCTTCTGTCTAGCGTTATATGAAGAAATCCCGTTTCCAACGAAGGCCTCAAAGAGGTCCAAATATCCACTTGCAGACTTTACAAATAGAGTGTTTCCAAACTGCTCTATGAAAAGAAAGCTTAAACTCTGTGAGTTGAAGGCACACATCACAAACTAGTTTCTGCGAATGACTCTGTGTACTTTTAATACGAAGATGTTTCCATGTCTAAAATTGGCGTGAATTCGCTTGAAATCTCCACTTGCAAATTCCACAAAAAGAGTGTTTCAAAACTGCTCTGAATAAAGGAAGGTTCCACTCTGTGAGTTGAATACACACAACACGAAGGATTTACTGAGAATTCTTCTGTCTAGCAGTAAATGAAAAAATACCGCTTCCAACGAAGTCCTCAAAGGGGTCCAAGTAATCACTTGCAGACTTTACAGACAGAGTCTTTCCAAACTGCTCTATGAAAAGAAAGGTGGAACTCTGCGAGCTGAACGCACACATAACAAAGCAGTTTCTGAGAATGATTCTGTGTAGTTTTTACACGAAGATATTTCCATTTCAAAGATTAGCCTCAAATCGCTTGAAATCTCCACTTGCAAATTCCACAGAAAGAGTTTTTCAAAACTGCTCTGTGTAAAGGAAGGTTCAACTCTGTGACTTGAATACACACAACACAAAGAAGTGACTGAGAATTCTTCTGTCTAGCATTATAAGAGGAAATCCCGTTTCCAACGAAGGGCTCATAGAGGGACAATTATCCAGCTGCAGACTTACAAAGAGTGTATTTCCAAACTGCTCGATTAAAGAAAGGTTAAACTCTGTGAGTTGAACACACACATCACAAAGTGTTTTCTGAGAATGATTTTGTCTAGTTTTAATACGAAGATATATCCTTTTCTATCACTGTCTTCGAAGCGTTTGAAATCTGCACTAGCAAATTCCACAAACAGAGTGTTTCAACTCTGCTCTCTCTCAAGAAAGGTTCAACTCTGTGAGTTGAATACACACAACACAAAGAAGTTACTGAGAATTCTTCTGTCTAGCGTTATATGAAGAAATCCCGTTTCCAACGAAGGCCTCAAAGAGGTCCAAATATCCACTTGCAGACTTTACAAATAGAGTGTTTCCAAACTGCTCTATGAAAAGAAAGGTTAAACTCCGTGAGTTGAAGGCACACATTACAAACTAGTTTCTGCGAATGACTCTGTGTACTTTTAATACGAAGATGTTTCCATGTCTAAGATTGGCGTGAATTCGCTTGAAATCTCCACTTGCAAATTCCACAAAAAGAGTGTTTCAAAAGTGCTCTGAATAAAGGAAGGTTCCACTCTGTGAGTTGAATACACACAACACAAAGGATTTACTGAGAATTCTTCTGTCTAGCAGTAAATGAAAAAATCCCGCTTCCAACGAAGTCCTCAAAGGGGTCCAAGTAATCACTTGCAGACTTTACAGACAGAGTCTTTCCAAACTGCTCTATGAAAAGAAAGGTGGAACTCTGTGAGCTGAACGCACACATAACAAAGCAGTTTCTGAGAATGATTCTGTGTAGTTTTTACACGAAGCTATTTCCATTTCAAAGATTAGCCTCAAATAGCTTGAAATCTCCACTTGCAAATTCCACAGAAAGAGTTTTTCAAAACTGCTCTGTGTAAAGGAAGGTTCAACTCTGTGACTTGAATACACACAACACAAAGAAGTGACTGAGAATTCTTCTGTCTAGCATTACATGAAGAAATCCCGTTTCCAACGAAGGCCTCAAAGAAGTCCAAATAAGCACCTGCAGACTTTACAAACAGAGTGTTTCCAAACTGCTCTATGAAAAGAAAGGTTAAACTCTGTGAGTTGAACGCACACATCACAAAGTAGTTGTTGAGAATGATTCTGTGTAGTTTTTATACGAAGATATTTCCTTTTCTGCCATAGGCCTAGAAGCGCTTGTAATCTGCACTTGCAAATTCCAAAACCACAGTGTTTCAAATCTGCTCTCTCTAAAGGAAGGTTCAAATCTGTGAGTTGAATACAAACAACACAAAGAAGTTACTGAGAATTCTTCTGTCTAGCATTATATGAGGAAATCCCGTTTCCAACGAAGGGCTCATAGAGGGACAATTATCCAGCTGCAGACTTACAAAGAGTGTATTTCCAAACTGCTCGATTAAAGAAAGGTTAAACTCTGTGAGTTGAACACACACATCACAAAGTGTTTTCTGAGAATGATTTTGTCTAGTTTTAATACGAAGATATATCCTTTTCTATCACTGTCTTCGAAGCGTTTGAAATCTGCACTAGCAAATTCCACAAACAGAGTGTTTCAACTCTGCTCTCTCTCAAGAAAGGTTCAACTCTGTGAGTGGAATACACACAACACAAAGAAGTTACTGAGAATTCTTCTGTCTAGCGTTATATGAAGAAATCCCGTTTCCAACGAAGGCCTCAAAGACGTCCAAATATCCACTTGCAGACTTTACAAATAGAGTGTTTCCAAACTGCTCTATGAAAAGAAAGGTTAAACTACTGTGAGTTGAAGGCACACATCACAAACTAGTTTCTGCGAATGACTCTGTGTACTTTTAATACGAAGATGTTTCCATGTCTAAGATTGGCGTGAATTCGCTTGAAATCTCCACTTGCAAATTCCACAAAAAGAGTGTTTCAAAACTGCTCTGAATAAAGGAAGGTTCCACTCTGTGAGTTGAATACACACAACACAAAGGATTTACTGAGAATTCTTCTGTCTAGCAGTAAATGAAAAAATCCCGCTTCCAACGAAGTCCTCAAAGGGGTCCAAGTAATCACTTGCAGACTTTACAGACAGAGTCTTTCCAAACTGCTCTATGAAAAGAAAGGTGGAACTCTGTGAGCTGAACGCACACATAACAAAGCAGTTTCTGAGAATGATTCTGTGTAGTTTTTACACGAAGATATTTCCATTTCAAAGATTAGCCTCAAATCGCTTGAAATCTCCACTTGCAAATTCCACAGAAAGAGTTTTTCAAAACTGCTCTGTGTAAAGGAAGGTTCAACTCTGTGACTTGAATACACACAACACAAAGAAGTGACTGAGAATTCTTCTGTCTAGCATTATACGAAGAAATCCCGTTTCCAACGAAGGCCTCAAAGAAGTCCAAATAAGCACCTGCAGACTTTACAAATAGAGTGTTTCCAAACTGCTCTATGAAAAGAAAGGTAAAACTCTGTGAGTTGAACGCACACATCACAAAGTAGTTGTTGAGAATGATTCTGTGTAGTTTTTATACGAAGATATTTCCTTTTCTGCCATAGGCCTAGAAGCGCTTGTAATCTGCACTTGCAAATTCCGAAAACAGAGTGTTTCAAATCTGCTCTCTCTAAACGAAGGTTCAAATCTGTGAGTTGAATACAAACAACACAAAGAAGTTACTGAGAATTCTTCTGTCTAGCATTATAAGAGGAAATCCCGTTTCCAACGAAGGGCTCATAGAGGGACAATTATCCAGCTGCAGACTTACAAAGAGTGTATTTCCAAACTGCTCGATTAAAGAAAGGTTAAACTCTGTGAGTTGAACACACACATCACAAAGTGTTTTCTGAGAATGATTTTGTCTAGTTTTAATACGAAGATATATCCTTTTCTATCACTGTCTTCGAAGCGTTTGAAATCTGCACTAGCAAATTCCACAAACAGAGTGTTTCAACTCTGCTCTCTCTCAAGAAAGGTTCAACTCTGTGAGTTGAATACACACAACACAAAGAAGTTACTGAGAATTCTTCTGTCTAGCGTTATATGAAGAAATCCCGTTTCCAACGAAGGCCTCAAAGAGGTCCAAATATCCACTTGCAGACTTTACAAATAGAGTGTTTCCAAACTGCTCTATGAAAAGAAAGGTTAAACTCCGTGAGTTGAAGGCACACATCACAAACTAGTTTCTGCGAATGACTCTGTGTACTTTTAATATGAAGATATTTCCATGTCTAAGATTGGCGTCAAATCGCTTGAAATCTCCACTTGCAAATTGCACAAAAAGAGTGTTTCAAAACTGCTCTGAATAAAGGAAGGTTCCACTCTGTGAGTTGAATACACACAACACAAAGGATTTACTGAGAATTCTTCTGTCTAGCAGTAAATGAAAAAATCCCGCTTCCAACGAAGTCCTCAAAGGGGTCCAAGTAATCACTTGCAGACTTTACAGACAGAGTCTTTCCAAACTCCTCTATGAAAAGAAAGGTGGAACTCTGTGAGCTGAACGCACACATAACAAAGCAGTTTCTGAGAATGATTCTGTGTAGTTTTTACACGAAGCTATTTCCATTTCAAAGATTAGCCTCAAATCGCTTGAAATCTCCACTTGCAAATTCCACAGAAAGAGTTTTTCAAAACTGCTCTGTGTAAAGGAAGGTTCAACTCTGTGACTTGAATACACACAACACAAAGAAGTGACTGAGAATTCTTCTGTCTAGCATTATATGAAGAAATCCCGTTTCCAACGAAGGCCTCAAAGAAGTCCAAATAAGCACCTGCAGACTTTACAAACAGAGTGTTTCCAAACTGCTCTATGAAAAGAAAGGTTAAACTCTGTGAGTTGAACGCACACATCACAAAGTAGTTGTTGAGAATGATTCTGTGTAGTTTTTATACGAAGATATTTAATTTTCTGCCATAGGCCTAGAAGCGCTTGAAATCTGCACTTGCAAATTCCAAAAACAGAGTGTTTCAAATCTGCTCTCTCCAAAGGAAGGTTCAAATCTGTGAGTTGAATACAAACAACACAAAGAAGTTACTGAGAATTCTTCTGTCTAGCATTATAAGAGGAAATCCCGTTTCCAACGAAGGGCTCATAGAGGGACAATTATCCAGCTGCAGACTTACAAAGAGTGTATTTCCAAACTGCTCGATTAAAGAAAGGTTAAACTCTGTGAGTTGAACACACACATCACAAAGTGTTTTCTGAGAATGATTCTGTGTAGTTTTTATACGAAGATATTTCCTTTTCTGCCATAGGCCTAGAAGCGCTTGAAATCTGCACTTGCAAATTCCAAAAACAGAGTGTTTCAACTCTGCACTCTCTAAAGAAAGGTTCAACTCTGTGAGTTGAATACACACAACACAAACAAGTTACTGAGAATTCTTCTGTCTAGCGTTGTATGAAGAAATCCCGTTTCCAACGAAGGCCTCAAAGAGGTCCAAATATCCACTTGCAGATTTTACAAATAGAGTGTTTCCAAACTGCTCTATGAAAAAAAAGGTTAAACTCTGTGAGTTGAAGGCACACATCACATACTAGTTTCTACGAATGACTCTGTGTACTTTTAATATGAAGATATTTCTCTGTCTAAGATTGGCGTCAAATCGCTTGAAATCTCCACTTGCAAATTCCACAAAAAGTGTTTTTCAAAACTGCTCTGAATAAAGGAAGGTTCCACTCTGTGAGTTGAATACACACAACACAAAGGATTTACTGAGAATTCTTCTGTCTAGCAGTAAATGAGAAATCCCGCTTCCAATGAAGGCCTCAAAGGGGTCTAACTAATCACTTGCAGACTTTACAGACAGAGTCTTTCCAAACTGCTCTATGAAGAGAAAGGTGAAACTCTGTGAACTGAACGCACAGATGACAAAGCAGTTTCTGAGAATGATTCTGTGTAGTTTTTACACGAAGATATTTCCATTTCAAAGATTAGCCTCAAATCGCTTGAAATCTCCACTTGCAAACTCCACAGAAAGAATTTTTCAAAACTGCTCTGTCTAAAGGAAGGTTCAACTCTGTGACTTGAATACACACAACACAAAGAAGTGACTGAGAATTCTTCTGTCTAGCATTATATGAAGAAATCCCGTTTCCAACGAAGGCCTCAATGAAGTCCAAAAAAGCACTTGCAGGCTTTACAAACAGAGTGTTTCCAAACTGCTCTATGAAAAGAAAGGTTAAACTCTGTGAGTTGAACGCACACATCACAAAGTAGTTGTTGAGAATGATTCTGTGTAGTTTTTATACGAAGATATTTCCTTTTCTGCCATAGGCCTAGAAGCGCTTGCAATCTGCACTTGCAAATTCCAAAAACAGAGTGTTTCAAATCTGCTCTCTCCAAAGGAAGGTTCAAATCTGTGAGTTGAATACAAACAACACAAAGAAGTTACTGAGAATTCTTCTGTCTAGCATTATATGAGGAAATCCCGTTTCCAACGAAGGGCTCATAGAGGGACAATTATCCAGCTGCAGACTTACAAAGAGTGTATTTCCAAACTGCTCGATTAAAGAAAGGTTAAACTCTGTGAGTTGAACACACACATCACAAAGTGTTTTCTGAGAATGATTTTGTCTAGTTTTAATACGAAGATATATCCTTTTCTATCACTGTCTTCGAAGCGTTTGAAATCTGCACTAGCAAATTCCACAAACAGAGTGTTTCAACTCTGCTCTCTCTCAAGAAAGGTTCAACTCTGTGAGTGGAATACACACAACACAAAGAAGTTACTGAGAATTCTTCTGTCTAGCGTTACATGAAGAAATCCCGTTTCCAACGAAGGCCTCAAAGACGTCCAAATATCCACTTGCAGACTTTACAAATAGAGTGTTTCCAAACTGCTCTATGAAAAGAAAGGTTAAACTCTGTGAGTTGAAGGCACACATCACAAAGTAGTTTCTGCGAATGACTCTGTGTACTTTTAATACGAAGATGTTTCCATGTCTAAGATTGGCGTGAATTCGCTTGAAATCTCCACTTGCAAATTCCACAAAAAGAGTGTTTCAAAACTGCTCTGAATAAAGGAAGGTTCCACTCTGTGAGTTGAATACACACAACACAAAGGATTTACTGAGAATTCTTCTGTCTAGCAGTAAATGAAAAAATCCCGCTTCCAACGAAGTCCTCAAAGGGGTCCAAGTAATCACTTGCAGACTTTACAGACAGAGTCTTTCCAAACTGCTATATGAAAACAAAGGTGGAACTCTGTGAGCTGAACGCACACATAACAAAGCAGTTTCTGACAATGATTCTGTGTAGTTTTTACACGAAGATATTTCCATTTCAAAGATTAGCCTCAAATCGCTTGAAATCTCCACTTGCAAATTCCACAGAAAGAGTTTTTCAAAACTGCTCTGTGTAAAGGAAGGTTCAACTCTGTGACTTGAATACACACAACACAAAGAAGTGACTGAGAATTCTTCTGTCTAGCATTATATGAAGAAATCCCGTTTCCAACGAAGGCCTCAAAGAAGTCCAAATAAGCACCTGCAGACTTTACAAACAGAGTGTTTCCAAACTTCTCTATGAAAAGAAAGGTTAAACTCTGTGAGTTGAACGCACACATCACAAAGTAGTTGTTGAGAATGATTCTGTGTAGTTTTTATACGAAGATATTTCCTTTTCTGCCATAGGCCTAGAAGCGCTTGCAATCTGCACTTGCAAATTCCAAAAACAGAGTGTTTCAAATCTGCTCTCTCCAAAGGAAGGTTCAAATCTGTGAGTTGAATACAAACAACACAAAGAAGTTACTGAGAATTCTTCTGTCTAGCATTATATGAGGAAATCCCGTTTCCAACGAAGGGCTCATAGAGGGACAATTATCCAGCTGCAGACTTACAAAGAGTGTATTTCCAAACTGCTCGATTAAAGAAAGGTTAAACTCTGTGAGTTGAACACACACATCACAAAGTGTTTTCTGAGAATGATTTTGTCTAGGTTTAATACGAAGATATATCCTTTTCTATCACTGTCTTCGAAGCGTTTGAAATCTGCACTAGCAAATTCCACAAACAGAGTGTTTCAACTCTGCTCTCTCTCAAGAAAGGTTCAACTCTGTGAGTGGAATACACACAACACAAAGAAGTTACTGAGAATTCTTCTGTCTAGCGTTATATGAAGAAATCCCGTTTCCAACGAAGGCCTCAAAGAGGTCCAAATATCCACTTGCAGACTTTACAAATAGAGTGTTTCCAAACTGCTCTATGAAAAGAAAGGTTAAACTCTGTGAGTTGAAGGCACACATCACAAACCAGTTTCTGCGAATGACTCTGTGTACTTTTAATACGAAGATGTTTCCATGTCTAAGATTGGCGTGAATTCGCTTGAAATCTCCACTTGCAAATTCCACAAAAAGAGTGTTTCAAAACTGCTCTGAATAAAGGCAGGTTCCACTCTGTGAGTTGAATACACACAACACAAAGGATTTACTGAGAATTCTTCTGTCTAGCAGTAAATGAAAAAATCCCGCTTCCAACGAACTCCTCAAAGGGGTCCAAGTAATCACTTGCAGACTTTACAGACAGAGTCTTTCCAAACTGCTCTATGAAAAGAAAGGTGGAACTCTGTGAGCTGAACGCACACATAACAAAGCAGTTTCTGAGAATGATTCTGTGTAGTTTTTACACGAAGATATTTCCATTTCAAAGATTAGCCTCAAATCGCTTGAAATCTCCACTTGCAAATTCCACAGAAAGAGTTTTTCAAAACTGCTCTGTGTAAAGGAAGGTTCAACTCTGTGACTTGAATACACACAACACAAAGAAGTGACTGAGAATTCTTCTGTCTAGCATTATATGAAGAAATCCCGTTTCCAACGAAGGCCTCAAAGAAGTCCAAATAAGCACCTGCAGACTTTACAAACAGAGTGTTTCGAAACTGCTCTATGAAAAGAAAGGTTAAACTCCGTGAGTTGAACGCACGCATCACAAACTAGTTTCTGCGAATGACTCTGTGTACTTTTAATACGAAGATGTTTCCATGTCTAAGATTGGCGTGAATTCGCTTGAAATCTCCACTTGCAAATTCCACAAAAAGAGTGTTTCAAAACTGCTCTGAATAAAGGAAGGTTCCACTCTGTGAGTTGAATACACACAACACAAAGGATTTACTGAGAATTCTTCTGTCTAGCAGTAAATGAAAAAATCCCGCTTCCAACGAAGTCCTCAAAGGGGTCCAAGTAATCACTTGCAGACTTTACAGACAGAATCTTTCCAAACTGCTCTATGAAAAGAAAGGTGGAACTCTGTGAGCTGAACGCACACATAACAAAGCAGTTTCTGAGAATGATTCTGTGTAGTTTTTACACGAAGATATTTCCATTTCAAAGATTAGCCTCAAATCGCTTGAAATCTCCACTTGCAAATTCCACAGAAAGAGTTTTTCAAAACTGCTCTGTGTAAAGGAAGGTTCAACTCTGTGACTTGAATACACACAACACAAAGAAGTGACTGAGAATTCTTGTGTCTAGCATTATATGAAGAAATCCCGTTTCCAACGAAGGCCTCAAAGAAGTCCAAATAAGCACCTGCAGACTTTACAAACAGAGTGTTTCCAAACTGCTCTATGAAAAGAAAGGTTAAACTCTGTGAGCTGAACGCACACATCACAAAGTAGTTGTTGAGAATGATTCTGTGTAGTTTTTATACGAAGATATTTCCTTTTCTGCCATAGGCCTAGAAGCGCTTGCAATCTGCACTTGCAAATTCCAAAAACAGAGTGTTTCAAATCTGCTCTCTCCAAAGGAAGGTTCAAATCTGTGAGTTGAATACAAACAACACAAAGAAGTTACTGAGAATTCTTCTGTCTAGCATTATAAGAGGAAATCACGTTTCCAACGAAGGGCTCATAGAGGGACAATTATCCAGCTGCAGACTTACAAAGAGTGTATTTCCAAACTGCTCGATTAAAGAAAGGTTAAACTCTGTGAGTTGAACGCACACATCACAAAGTGTTTTCTGAGAATGATTTTGTCTAGTTTTAATACGAAGATATATCCTTTTCTATCACTGTCTTCGAAGCGTTTGAAATCTGCACTAGCAAATTCCACAAACAGAGTGTTTCAACTCTGCTCTCTCTCAAGAAAGGTTCAACTCTGTGAGTTGAATACACACAACACAAAGAAGTTACTGAGAATTCTTCTGTCTAGCGTTATATGAAGAAATCCCGTTTCCAACGAAGGCCTCAAAGAGGTCCAAATATCCACTTGCAGACTTTACAAATAGAGTGTTTCCAAACTGCTCTATGAAAAGAAAGGTTAAACTCCGTGAGTTGAAGGCACACATCACAAACTAGTTTCTGCAAATGACTCTGTGTACTTTTAATACGAAGATGTTTCCATGTCTAAGATTGGCGTGAATTCGCTTGAAATCTCCACTTGCAAATTCCACAAAAAGAGTGTTTCAAAAGTGCTCTGAATAAAGGAAGGTTCCACTCTGTGAGTTGAATACACACAACACAAAGGATTTACTGAGAATTCTTCTGTCTAGCAGTAAATGAAAAAATCCCGCTTCCAACGAAGTCCTCAAAGGGGTCCAAGTAATCACTTGCAGACTTTACAGACAGAGTCTTTCCAAACTGCTCTATGAAAAGAAAGGTGGAACTCTGTGAGCTGAACGCACACATAACAAAGCAGTTTCTGAGAATGATTCTGTGTAGTTTTTACACGAAGCTATTTCCATTTCAAAGATTAGCCTCAAATCGCTTGAAATCTCCACTTGCAAATTCCACAGAAAGAGTTTTTCAAAACTGCTCTGTGTAAAGGATGGTTCAACTCTGTGACTTGAATACACACAACACAAAGAAGTGACTGAGAATTCTTCTGTCTAGCATTATATGAAGAAATCCCGTTTCCAACGAAGGCCTCAAAGAAGTCCAAATAAGCACCTGCAGACTTTACAAACAGAGTGTTTCCAAACTGCTCTATGAAAAGAAAGGTTAAACTCTGTGAGTTGAACACACACATCACAAAGTAGTTGTTGAGAATGATTCTGTGTAGTTTTTATACGAAGATATTTAATTTTCTGCCATAGGCCTAGAAGCGCTTGCAATCTGCACTTGCAAATTCCAAAAACAGAGTGTTTCAAATCTGCTCTCTCCAAAGGAAGGTTCAAATCTGTGAGTTGAATACAAACAACACAAAGAAGTTACTGAGAATTCTTCTGTCTAGCATTATAAGAGGAAATCCCGTTTCCAACGAAGGGCTCATAGAGGGACAATTATCCAGCTGCAGACTTACAAAGAGTGTATTTCCAAACTGCTCGATTAAAGAAAGGTTAAACTCTGTGAGTTAAACACACACATCACAAAGTGTTTTCTGAGAATGATTTTGTCTAGTTTTAATACGAAGATATATCCTTTTCTATCACTGTCTTCGAAGCGTTTGAAATCTGCACTAGCAAATTCCACAAACAGAGTGTTTCAACTCTGCTCTCTCTCAAGAAAGGTTCAACTCTGTGAGTTGAATACACACAACACAAAGAAGTTACTGAGAATTCTTCTGTCTAGCGTTATATGAAGAAATCCCGTTTCCAACGAAGGCCTCAAAGAGGTCCAAATATCCACTTGCAGACTTTACAAATAGAGTGTTTCCAATCTGCTCTATGAAAAGAAAGGTTAAACTCCGTGAGTTGAAGGCACACATCACAAACTAGTTTCTGCGAATGACTCTGTGTACTTTTAATACGAAGATGTTTCCATGTCTAAGATTGGCGTGAATTCGCTTGAAATCTCCACTTGCAAATTCCACAAAAAGAGTGTTTCAAAACTGCTCTGAATAAAGGAAGGTTCCACTCTGTGAGTTGAATACACACAACACAAAGGATTTACTGAGAATTCTTCTGTCTAGCAGTAAATGAAAAAATCCCGCTTCCAACGAAGTCCTCAAAGGGGTCCAAGTAATCACTTGCAGACTTTACAGACAGAGTCTTTCCAAACTGCTCTATGAAAAGAAAGGTGGAACTCTGTGAAATGAACGCACACATAACAAAGAAGTTTCTGAGAATGATTCTGTGTAGTTTTTACACGAAGCTATTTCCATTTCAAAGATTAGCCTCAAATCGCTTGAAATCTCCACTTGCAAATTCCACAGAAAGAGTTTTTCAAAACTGCTCTGTGTAAAGGAAGGTTCAACTCTGTGACTTGAATACACACAACACAAAGAAGTGACTGAGAATTCTTCTGTCTAGCATTATATGAAGAAATCCCGTTTCCAACGAAGGCCTCAATGAAGTCCAAAAAAGCACTTGCAGGCTTTACAAACAGACTGTTTCCAAACTGCTCTATGAAAAGAAAGGTTAAACTATGTGAGTTGAATGCACACATCACAAAGTAGTTGTTGAGAATGATTCTGTGTAGTTTTTATACGAAGATATTTCCTTTTCTGCCATAGGCCTAGAATCGCTTGAAATCTGCAATTGCAAATTCCAAAAACAGAGTGTTTCAACTCTGTTCTCTCTAAAGAAAGGTTCAACTCTGTGAGTTGAATACACACAACACAAAGAAGTGACTGAGAATTCTTCTGTCTAGCGTTGTATGAAGAAATCCCGTTTCCAACGAAGGCCTCAATGAAGTCCAAAAAAGCACTTGCAGGCTTTACAAACAGAGTGTTTCCAAACTGCTCTATGAAAAGAAAGGTTAACCTCTGTGAGTTGAACGCACACATCACAAAGTAGTTGTTGAGAATGATTCTGTGTAGTTTTTATACGAAGATATTTCCTTTTCTGCCATAGGCCTAGAAGCGCTTGAAATCTGCACTTGCAAATTCCAAAAACAGAGTGTTTCAAATCTGCTCTCTCTAAAGGAAGGTTCAAAACTGTGTGTTGAATACAAACAACACAAAGAAGTTACTGAGAATTCTTCTGTCTAGCATTATAAGAGGAAATCCCGTTTCCAACGAAGGGCTCATAGAGGGACAATTATCCAGCTGCAGACTTACAAAGAGTGTATTTCCAAACTGCTCGATTAAAGAAAGGTTAAACTCTGTGAGTTGAACACACACATCACAAAGTGTTTTCTGAGAATGATTTTGTCTAGTTTTAATACGAAGATATATCCTTTTCTATCACTGTCTTCGAAGCGTTTGAAATCTGCACTAGCAAATTCCACAAACAGAGTGTTTCAACTCTGCTCTCTCTCAAGAAAGGTTCAACTCTGTGAGTTGAATACACACAACACAAAGAAGTTACTGAGAATTCTTCTGTCTAGCGTTATATGAAGAAATCCCGTTTCCAACGAAGGCCTCAAAGAGGTCCAAATATCCACTTGCAGACTTTACAAATAGAGTGTTTCCAAACTGCTCTATGAAAAGAAAGGTTAAACTCCGTGAGTTGAAGGCACACATCACAAACTAGTTTCTGCGAATGACTCTGTGTACTTTTAATACGAAGATGTTTCCATGTCTAAGATTGGCGTGAATTCGCTTGAAATCTCCACTTGCAAATTCCACAAAAAGAGTGTTTCAAAACTGCTCTGAATAAAGGAAGGTTCCACTCTGTGAGTTGAATACACACAACACAAAGGATTTACTGAGAATTCTTCTGTCTAGCAGTAAATGAAAAAATCCCGCTTCCAACGAAGTCCTCAAAGGGGTCCAAGTAATCACTTGCAGACTTTACAGACAGAGTCTTTCCAAACTGCTCTATGAAAAGAAAGGTGGAACTCTGTGAGCTGAACGCACACATAACAAAGCAGTTTCTGAGAATGATTCTGTGTAGTTTTTACACGAAGATATTTCCATTTCAAAGATTAGCCTCAAATCGCTTGAAATCTCCACTTGCAAATTCCACAGAAAGAGTTTTTCAAAACTGCTCTGTGTAAAGGAAGGTTCAACTCTGTGACTTGAATACACACAACACAAAGAAGTGACTGAGAATTCTTCTGTCTAGCATTATATGAAGAAATCCCGTTTCCAACGAAGGCCTCAAAGAAGTCCAAATAAGCACCTGCAGACTTTACAAACAGAGTGTTTCCAAACTGCTCTATGAAAAGAAAGGTTAAACTCTGTGAGTTGAACGCACACATCACAAAGTAGTTGTTGAGAATGATTCTGTGTAGTTTTTATACGAAGATATTTCCTTTTCTGCCATAGGCCTAGAAGCGCTTGTAATCTGCACTTGCAAATTCCGAAAACAGAGTGTTTCAAATCTGCTCTCTCTAAAGGAAGGTTCAAATCTGTGAGTTGAATACAAACAACACAAAGAAGTTACTGAGAATTCTTCTGTCTAGCATTATAAGAGGAAATCCCGTTTCCAACGAAGGGCTCATAGAGGGACAATTATCCAGCTGCAGACTTACAAAGAGTGTATTTCCAAACTGCTCGATTAAAGAAAGGTTAAACTCTGTGAGTTGAACACACACATCACAAAGTGTTTTCTGAGAATGATTTTGTCTAGTTTTAATACGAAGATATATCCTTTTCTATCACTGTCTTCGAAGCGTTTGAAATCTGCACTAGCAAATTCCACAAACAGAGTGTTTCAACTCTGCTCTCTCTCAAGAAAGGTTCAACTCTGTGAGTGGAATACACACAACACAAACAAGTTACTGAGAATTCTTCTGTCTAGCGTTATATGAAGAAATCCCGTTTCCAACGAAGGCCTCAAAGAGGTCCAAATATCCACTTGCAGACTTTACAAATAGAGTGTTTCCAAACTGCTCTATGAAAAGAAAGGTTAAACTCTGTGAGTTGAAGGCACACATCACAAACTAGTTTCTGCGAATGACTCTGTGTACTTTTAATACGAAGATGTTTCCATGTCTACGATTGGCGTGAATTCGCTTGAAATCTCCACTTGCAAATTCCACAAAAAGAGTGTTTCAAAACTGCTCTGAATAAAGGAAGGTTCAACTCTGTGACTTGAATACACACAACACAAAGAAGTGACTGAGAATTCTTCTGTCTGGCAGTAAATGAAAAAATCCCGCTTCCAACGAAGTCCTCAAAGGGGTCCAAGTAATCACTTGCAGACTTTACAGACAGAGTCTTTCCAAACTGCTCTATGAAAAGAAAGGTGGAACTCTGTGAGCTGAACGCACACATAACAAAGCAGTTTCTGAGAATGATTCTGTGTAGTTTTTACACGAAGATATTTCCATTTCAAAGATTAGCCTCAAATCGCTTGAAATCTCCACTTGCAAATTCCACAGAAAGAGTTTTTCAAAACTGCTCTGTGTAAAGGAAGGTTCAACTCTGTGACTTGAATACACACAACACAAAGAAGTGACTGAGAATTCTTCTGTCTAGCATTATATGAAGAAATCCCGTTTCCAACGAAGGCCTCAAAGAAGTCCAAATAAGCACCTGCAGACTTTACAAACAGAGTGTTTCCAAACTGCTCTATGAAAAGAAAGGTTAAACTCTGTGAGTTGAACGCACACATCACACAGTAGTTGTTGAGAATGATTCTGTGTAGTTTTTATACGAAGATATTTCCTTTTCTGCCATAGGCCTAGAAGCGCTTGTAATCTGCACTTGCAAATTCCAAAACCAGAGTGTTTCAAATCTGCTCTCTCTAAAGGAAGGTTCAAATCTGTGAGTTGAATACAAACAACACAAAGAAGTTACTGAGAATTCTTCTGTCTAGCATTATATGAGGAAATCCCGTTTCCAACGAAGGGCTCATAGAGGGACAATTATCCAGCTGCAGACTTACAAAGAGTGTATTTCCAAACTGCTCGATTAAAGAAAGGTTAAACTCTGTGAGTTGAACACACACATCACAAAGTGTTTTCTGAGAATGATTTTGTCTAGTTTTAATACGAAGATATATCCTTTTCTATCACTGTCTTCGAAGCGTTTGAAATCTGCACTAGCAAATTCCACAGAAAGAGTGTTTCAACTCTGCTCTCTCTCAAGAAAGGTTCAACTCTGTGAGTGGAATACACACAACACAAAGAAGTTACTGAGAATTCTTCTGTCTAGCGTTATATGAAGAAATCCCGTTTCCAACGAAGGCCTCAAAGAGGTCCAAATATCCACTTGCAGACTTTACAAATAGAGTGTTTCCAAACTGCTCTATGAAAAGAAAGGTTAAACTCCGTGAGTTGAAGGCACACATCACAAACTAGTTTCTGCGAATGACTCTGTGTACTTTTAATACGAAGATGTTTCCATGTCTAAGATTGGCGTGAATTCGCTTGAAATCTCCACTTGCAAATTCCACAAAAAGAGTGTTTCAAAACTGCTCTGAATAAAGGAAGGTTCCACTCTGTGAGTTGAATACACACAACACAAAGGATTTACTGAGAATTCTTCTGTCTAGCAGTAAATGAAAAAATCCCGCTTCCAACGAAGTCCTCAAAGGGGTCCAAGTAATCACTTGCAGACTTTACAGACAGAGTCTTTCCAAACTGCTCTATGAAAAGAAAGGTGGAACTCTGTGAGCTGAACGCACACATAACAAAGCAGTTTCTGAGAATGATTCTGTGTAGTTTTTACACGAAGCTATTTCCATTTCAAATATTAGCCTCAAATCGCTTGAAATCTCCACTTGCAAATTCCACAGAAAGAGTTTTTCAAAACTGCTCTGTGTAAAGGAAGGTTCAACTCTGTGACTTGAATACACACAACACAAAGAAGTGACTGAGAATTCTTCTGTCTAGCATTATATGAAGAAATCCCGTTTCCAACGAAGGCCTCAAAGAAGTCCAAATAAGCACCTGCAGACTTTACAAACAGAGTGTTTCCAAACTGCTCTATGAAAAGAAAGGTTAAACTCTGTGAGTTGAACGCACACATCACAAACTAGTTTCTGCGAATGACTCTGTGTACTTTTAATACGAAGATGTTTCCATGTCTAAGATTGGCGTGAATTCGCTTGAAATCTCCACTTGCAAATTCCACAAAAAGAGTGTTTCAAAACTGCTCTGAATAAAGGAAGGTTCCACTCTGTGAGTTGAATACACACAACACAAAGGATTTACTGAGAATTCTTCTGTCTAGCAGTAAATGAAAAAATCCCGCTTCCAACGAAGTCCTCAAAGGGGTCCAAGTAATCACTTGCAGACTTTACAGACAGAGTCTTTCCAAACTGCTCTATGAAAAGAAAGGTGGAACTCTGTGAGCTGAACGCACACATAACAAAGTAGTTTCTGAGAATGATTCTGTGTAGTTTTTACACGAAGCTATTTCCATTTCAAAGATTAGCCTCAAATCGCTTGAAATCTCCACTTGCAAATTCCACAGAAAGAGTTTTTCAAAACTGCTCTGTGTAAAGGAAGGTTCAACTCTGTGACTTGAATACACACAACACAAAGAAGTGACTGAGAATTCTTCTGTCTAGCATTATAAGAGGAAATCCTGTTTCCAACGAAGGGCTCATAGAGGGACAATTATCCAGCTGCAGACTTACAAAGAGTGTATTTCCAAACTGCTCGATTAAAGAAAGGTTAAACTCTGTGAGTTGAACACACACATCACAAAGTGTTTTCTGAGAATGATTTTGTCTAGTTTTAATACGAAGATATATCCTTTTCTATCACTGTCTTTGAAGCGTTTGAAATCTGCACTAGCAAATTCCACAAACAGAGTGTTTCAACTCTGCTCTCTCTCAAGAAAGGTTCAACTCTGTGAGTGGAATACACACAACACAAAGAAGTTACTGAGAATTCTTCTGTCTAGCGTTATATGAAGAAATCCCGTTTCCAACGAAGGCCTCAAAGAGGTCCAAATATCCACTTGCAGACTTTACAAATAGAGTGTTTCCAAACTGCTCTATGAAAAGAAAGGTTAAACTCTGTGAGTTGAAGGCACACATCACAAACTAGTTTCTGCGAATGACTCTGTGTACTTTTAATACGAAGATGTTTCCATGTTTAAGATTGGCGTGAATTCGCTTGAAATCTCCACTTGCAAATTCCACAAAAAGAGTGTTTCAAAACTGCTCTGAATAAAGGAAGGTTCCACTCTGTGAGTTGAATACACACAACACAAAGGATTTACTGAGAATTCTTCTGTCTAGCAGTAAATGAAAAAATCCCGCTTCCAACGAAGTCCTCAAAGGGGTCCAAGTAATCACTTGCAGACTTTACAGACAGAGTCTTTCCAAACTGCTCTATGAAAAGAAAGGTGGAACTCTGTGAGCTGAACGCACACATAACAAAGCAGTTTCTGAGAATGATTCTGTGTAGTTTTTACACGAAGATATTTCCATTTCAAAGATTAGCCTCAAATCGCTTGAAATCTCCACTTGCAAATTCCACAGAAAGAGTTTTTCAAAACTGCTCTGTGTAAAGGAAGGTTCAACTCTGTGACTTGAATACACACAACACAAAGAAGTGACTGAGAATTCTTCTGTCTAGCATTATATGAAGAAATCCCGTTTCCAACGAAGGCCTCAAAGAAGTCCAAATAAGCACCTGCAGACTTTACAAACAGAGTGTTTCCAAACTGCTCTATGAAAAGAAAGGTTAAACTCTGTGAGTTGAACGCACACATCACAAAGTAGTTGTTGAGAATGATTCTGTGTAGTTTTTATACGAAGATATTTAATTTTCTGCCATAGGCCTAGAAGCGCTTGTAATCTGCACTTGCAAATTCCAAAACCAGAGTGTTTCAAATCTGCTCTCTCTAAAGGAAGGTTCAAATCTGTGAGTTGAATACAAACAACACAAAGAAGTTACTGAGGATTCTTCTGTCTAGCATTATATGAGGAAATCCCGTTTCCAACGAAGGGCTCATAGAGGGACAATTATCCAGCTGCAGACTTACAAAGAGTGTATTTCCAAACTGCTCGATTAAAGGAAGGTTAAACTCTGTGAGTTGAACACACACATCACAAAGTGTTTTCTGAGAATGATTTTGTCTAGTTTTAATACGAAGATATATCCTTTTCTATCACTGTCTTCGAAGCGTTTGAAATCGGCACTAGCAAATTCCACAAACAGAGTGTTTCAACTCTGCTCTCTCTCAAGAAAGGTTCAACTCTGTGAGTGGAATACACACAACACAAAGAAGTTACTGAGAATTCTTCTGTCTAGCGTTATATGAAGAAATCCCGTTTCCAACGAAGGCCGCAAAGACGTCCAAATATCCACTTGCAGACTTTACAAATAGAGTGTTTCCAAACTGCTCTATGAAAAGAAAGGTTAAACTCTGTGAGTTGAAGGCACACATCACAAACTAGTTTCTGCGAATGACTCTGTGTACTTTTAATATGAAGATATTTCCATGTCTAAGATTGGCGTCAAATCGCTTGAAATCTCCACTTGCAAATTCCACAAAAAGTGTTTTTCAAAACTGCTCTGAATAAAGGAAGGTTCCACTCTGTGAGTTGAATACACGCAACACAAAGGATTTACTGAGAATTCTTCTGTCTAGCAATAAATGAGAAATCCCGCTTCCAACGAAGGCCTCAAAGGGGTCTAACTAATCACTTGCAGACTTTACAGACAGAGTCTTTCCAAACTGCTCTATGAAGAGAAAGGTGAAACTCTGTGAACTGAACGCACAGATGACAAAGCAGTTTCTGAGAATGATTCTGTGTAGTTTTTACACGAAGATATTTCCATTTCAAAGATTAGCCTCAAATCGCTTGAAATCTCCACTTGCAAACTCCACAGAAAGAATTTTTCAAAACTGCTCTGTCTAAAGGAAGGTTCAACTCTGTGACTTGAATACACACAACACAAAGAAGTGACTGAGAATTCTTCTGTCTAGCATTATATGAAGAAATCCCGTTTCCAACGAAGGCCTCAATGAAGTCCAAAAAAGCACTTGCAGGCTTTACAAACAGAGTGTTTCCAAACTGCTCTATGAAAAGAAAGGTTAAACTCTGTGAGTTGAACGCACACATCACAAAGTAGTTGTTGAGAATGATTATGTGTAGTTTTTATACGAAGATATTTCCTTTTCTGCCATAGGCCTAGAAGCGCTTGAAATCTGCACTTGCAAATTCCAAAAACAGAGTGTTTCAAATCTGCTCTCTCTAAAGGAAGGTTCAAATCTGTGTGTTGAATACAAACAACACAAAGAAGTTACTGAGAATTCTTCTGTCTAGCATTATATGAGGAAATCCCGTTTCCAACGAAGGGCTCAAAGAGGGCCAAATATCCACCTGCAGACTTACAAAGAGTGTATTTCCAAACTGCTCGATTAAAGAAAGGTTAAACTCTGTGAGTTGAACACACACATCACAAAGAGTTTTCTGAGAATGATTTTGTCTACTTTTAATACGAAGATATATCCTTTTCTATCACTGTCTTCGAAGCGTTTGAAATCTACACTAGCAAATTCCACAAAAAGAGTGTTTCACCTCTGCTCCCTCTAAAGAAAGGTTCAACTCTGTGAGTTGAATACACACAACACAAAGAAGTTACTGAGAATTCTTCTGTCTAGCGTTATATGAAGAAATCCCGTTTCCAACGAAGGCCTCAAAGAGGTCCAAATATCCACTTGCAGACTTTACAAATAGAGTGTTTCCCAACTGCTCTATGAAAAGAAAGGTTAAACTCTGTGAGTTGAAGGCACACATCACAAACTAGTTTCTACGAATGACTCTGTGTACTTTTAATACGAAGATGTTTTCCATGTCTAAGATTGGCGTGAATTCGCTTGAAATCTCCGCTTGCAAATTCCACAAAAAGAGTGTTTCAAAACTGCTCTGAATAAAGGAAGGTTCCACTCTGTGAGTTGAATACACACAACACAAAGGATTTACTGAGAATTCTTCTGTCTAGCAGTAAATGAGAAATCCCGCTTCCAACGAAGGCCTCAAAGGGGTCTAACTAATCACTTGCAGACTTTACAGACAGAGTCTTTCCAAACTGCTCTATGAAGAGAAAGGTGAAACTCTGTGAACTGAACGCACAGATGACAAAGCAGTTTCTGAGAATGATTCTGTGTAGTTTTTACACGAAGATATTTCCATTTCAAAGATTAGCCTCAAATCGCTTGAAATCTCCACTTGCAAATTACACAGAAAGAATTTTTCAAAACTGCTCTGTCTAAAGTAAGGTTCAACTCTGTGACTTGAATACACACAACACAAAGAAGTGACTGAGAATTCTTCTGTCTAGCATTATATGAAGAAATCCCATTTCCAACGAAGGCCTCAATGAAGTCCAAAAAAGCACTTGCAGGCTTTACAAACAGAGTGTTTCCAAACTGCTCTATGAAAAGAAAGGTTAAACTCTGTGAGTTGAACGCACACATCACAAAGTAGTTGTTGAGAATGACTCTGTGTAGTTTTTATACGAAGATATTTCCTTTTCTGCCATAGGCCAAGAATCGCTTGAAATCTGCAGTTGCAAATTCCACAAAAAGAGTGTCTCACCTCTGCTCCCTCTAAAGAAAGGTTCAACTCTGTGAGTTGAATACACACAACACAAAGAAGTTACTGAGAATTCTTCTGTCTAGCGTTATATGAAGAAATCCCGTTTCCAACGAAGGCCTCAAAGAGGTCCAAATATCCACTTGCAGACTTTACAAATAGAGTGTTTCCCAACTGCTCTATGAAAAGAAAGGTTAAACTCTGTGAGTTGAAGGCACACATCACACACTAGTTTCTACGAATGACTCTGTGTACTTTTAATATGAAGATATTTCCATGTCTAAGATTGGCGTCAAATCGCTTGAAATCTCCACTTGCAAATTCCACAAAAAGAGTGTTTCAAAACTGCTCTGAATAAAGGAAGGTTCCACTCTGTGAGTTGAATACACACAACACAAAGGATTTACTGAGAATTCTTCTGTCTAGCAGCAAATGAGAAATCCCACTTCCAACGAAGGCCTCAAAGGGGTCTAACTAATCACTTGCAGACTTTACAGACAGAGTCTTTCCAAACTGCTCTATGAAGAGAAAGGTGAAACTCTGTGAACTGAACGCACAGATGACAAAGCAGTTTCTGAGAATGATTCTGTATAGTTTTTACACGAAGATAATTCCATTTCAAAGATTAGCCTCAAATCGCTTGAAATCTCCACTTGCAAACTCCACAGAAAGAATTTTTCAAAACTACTCTGTCTAAAGGAAGGTTCAACTCTGTGACTTGAATACACACAACACAAATAAGTGACTGAGAATTCTTCTGTCTAGCATTATATGAAGAAATCCCGTTTCCAACGAAGGCCTCAATGAAGTCCAAAAAAGCACTTGCAGGCTTTACAAACAGAGTGTTTCCAAACTGCTCTATGAAAAGAAAGGTTAAACTCTGTGAGTTGAACGCACACATCACAAAGTAGTTGTTGAGAATGATTCTGTGTAGTTTTTATACGAAGATATTTCCTTTTCTGCCATAGGCCTATAAGCGCTTTAAATCTGCACTTGCAAATTCCAAAAACAGAGTGTTTCAAATCTGCTCTCTCTAAAGGAAGGTTCAAATCTGTGAGTTGAATACAAACAACACAAAGAAGTTACTGAGAATTCTTCTGTCTAGCATTATATGAGGAAATCCCGTTTCCAACGAAGGGCTCAAAGAGGGCCAATTATCCACCTGCAGACTTACAAAGAGTGTATTTCCAAACTGCTCGATTAAAGAAAGGTTAAACTCTGTGAGTTGAACACACACATCACAAAGTGTTTTCTGAGAATGATTTTGTCTAGTTTTAATACGAAGATATATCCTTTTCTATCACTGTCTTTGAAGCGTTTGAAATCTACACTAGCAAATTCCACAAGAAGAGTGTTTCAACTCTGCTCTCTCTAAAGAAAGGTTCAGCTCGGTGAGTTGAATACACACAACACAAAGAAGTTACTGAGAATTCTTCTGTCTAGCGTTATATGAAGAAATCCCGTTTCCAACGAAGGCCTCAAAGAGGTCCAAATATCCACTTGCAGACTTTACAAATAGAGTGTTTCCCAACTGCTCTATGAAAAGAAAGGTTAAACTGTGAGTTGAAGGCACACATCACAAACTAGTTTCTACGAATGACTCTGTGTACTTTTAATATGAAGATATTTCCATGTCTAAGATTGGCGTCAAATCGCTTGAAATCTCCACTTGCAAATTCCACTAAAAGTGTTTTTCAAAACTGCTCTGAATAAAGGAAGGTTCCACTCTGTGAGTTGAATACACACAACACAAAGGATTTACTGAGAATTCTTCTGTCTAGCAGTAAATGAGAAGTCCCGCTTCCAACGAAGGCCTCAAAGGGGTCTAACTAATCACTTGCAGACTTTAAAGACAGAGTCTTTCCAAACTGCTCTATGAAGAGAAAGGTGAAACTCTGTGAACTGAACGCACAGATGACAAAGCAGTTTCTGAGAATGCTTCTGTATAGTTTTTACACGAAGATATTTCCATTTCAAAGATTAGCCTCAATTCGCTTGAAATCTCCACTTGCAAATTCCACAGAAAGAATTTTTCAAAACTACTCTGTCTAAAGGAAGGTTCAACTCTGTGACTTGAATACACACAACACAAAGAAGTGACTGAGAATTACTTTGTCTAGCATTATATGAAGAAATCCCGTTTCCAACGAAGGCCTCAAAGAAGTCCAAATAAGCACCTGCAGACTTTACAAACAGAGTGTTTCCAAACTGCTCTATGAAAAGAAAGTTTAAATTCTGTGAGTTGAACGCACACGTCACAAAGTAGTTGTTGAGAATGATTCTGTGTAGTTTTTATAGGAAGATATTTCCTTTTCTGCCATAGGCCTAGAATCGCTTGAAATCTACACTTGCAAATTCCAAAAACAGAGTGTTTCAAATCTGCTCTCTCTAAAGGAAGGTTCACATCTGTGAGTTGAATACAAACAACACAAAGAAGTTACTGAGAATTCTTCTGTCTAGCATTATATGAGGAAATCCCGTTTCCAACGAAGGGCTCAAAGAGGGCCAATTATCCACCTGCAGACTTACAAAGAGTGTATTTCCAAACTGCTCGATTAAAGAAAGGTTAAACTCTGTGAGTTGAACACACACATCACAAAGAGTTTTCTGAGAATGATTTTGTCTAGTTTTAATACGAAGATATATCCTTTTCTATCACTGTCTTCGAAGCGTTTGAAATCTGCACTAGCAAATTCCACAAAAAGAGTGTTTCACCTCTGCTCCCTCTAAAGAAAGGTTCAACTCTGTGAGTTGAATACACACAACACAAAGAAGTTACTGAGAATTCTTCTGTCTAGCGTTATATGAAGAAATCCCGTTTCCAACGAAGGCCTCAAAGAGGTCCAAATATCCACTTGCAGACTTTACAAATAGAGTGTTTCCAAACTGCTCTACGAAAAGAAAGGTTAAACTCTGTGAGTTGAAGGCACACATCACAAACTAGTTTCTACGAATGACTCTGTGTACTTTTAATATGAAGATATTTCCATGTCTAAGATTGGCGTCAAATCGCTTGAAATCTCCACTTGCAAATTCCACAAAAAGAGTGTTTGAAAACTGCTCTGAATAAAGGAAGGTTCCACTCTGTGAGTTGAATACACACAACACAAAGGATTTACTGAGAATTCTTCTGTCTAGCAGTAAATGAGAAATCCCGCTTCCAACGAAGGCCTCAAAGGGGTCTAACTAATCACTTGCAGACTTTACAGACAGAGTCTTTCCAAACTGCTCTATGAAGAGAAAGGTGAAACTCTGTGAACTGAACGCACAGATGACAAAGCAGTTTCTGAGAATGATTCTGTGTAGTTTTTACACGAAGATATTTCCATTTCAAAGATTAGCCTCAAATCGCTTGAAATCTCCACTTGCAAACTCCACAGAAAGAATTTTTCAAAACTGCTCTGTCTAAAGGAAGGTTCAACTCTGTGACTTGAATACACACAACACAAAGAAGTGACTGAGAATTCTTCTGTCTAGCATTATATGAAGAAATCCCGTTTCCAACGAAGGCCTCAATGAAGTCCAAAAAAGCACTTGCAGGCTTTACAAACAGAGTGTTTCCAAACTGCTCTATGAAAAGAAAGGTTAAACTCTGTGAGTTGAACGCACACATCACAAAGTAGTTGTTGAGAATGATTCTGTGTACTTTTTATACGAAGATATTTCCTTTTCTGCCATAGGCCTAGAAGCGCTTGAAGTCTGCACTTGCAAATTCCAAAAACAGAGTGTTTCAAATCTGCTCTCTCTAAAGGAAGGTTCAAATCTGTGTGTTGAATACAAACAACACAAAGAAGTTACTGAGAATTCTTCTGTCTAGCATTATATGAGGAAATCCCGTTTCCAACGAAGGGCTCATAGTAGGGACAATTATCCAGCTGCAGACTTACAAAGAGTGTATTTCCAAACTGCTCGATTAAAGAAAGGTTAAACTCTGTGAGTTGAACACACACATCACAAAGTGTTTTCTGAGAATGATTTTGTCTAGTTTTAATACGAAGATATATCCTTTTCTATCACTGTCTTCGAAGCGTTTGAAATCTGCACTAGCAAATTCCACAAACAGAGTGTTTCAACTCTGCTCTCTCTCAAGAAAGGTTCAACTCTGTGAGTTGAATACACACAACACAAAGAAGTTACTGAGAATTCTTCTGTCTAGCGTTATATGAAGAAATCCCGTTTCCAACGAAGGCCTCAAAGAGGTCCAAATATCCACTTGCAGACTTTACAAATAGAGTGTTTCCAAACTGCTCTATGAAAAGAAAGGTTAAACTCCGTGAGTTGAAGGCACACATCACAAACTAGTTTCTGCGAATGACTCTGTGTACTTTTAATACGAAGATGTTTCCATGTCTAAGATTGGCGTGAATTCGCTTGAAATCTCCACTTGCAAATTCCACAAAAAGAGTGTTTCAAAACTGCTCTGAATAAAGGAAGGTTCCACTCTGTGAGTTGAATACACACAACACAAAGGATTTACTGAGAATTCTTCTGTCTAGCAGTAAATGAAAAAATCCCGCTTCCAACGAAGTCCTCAAAGGGGTCCAAGTAATCACTTGCAGACTTTACAGACAGAGTCTTTCCAAACTGCTCTATGAAAAGAAAGGTGGAACTCTGTGAGCTGAACGCACACATAACAAAGCAGTTTCTGACAATGATTCTGTGTAGTTTTTACACGAAGATATTTCCATTTCAAAGATTAGCCTCAAATCGCTTGAAATCTCCACTTGCAAATTCCACAGAAAGAGTTTTTCAAAACTGCTCTGTGTAAAGGAAGGTTCAACTCTGTGACTTGAATACACACAACACAAAGAAGTGACTGAGAATTCTTCTGTCTAGCATTATATGAAGAAATCCCGTTTCCAACGAAGGCCTCAAAGAAGTCCAAATAAGCACCTGCAGACTTTACAAACAGAGTGTTTCCAAACTGCTCTATGAAAAGAAAGGTTAAACTCTGTGAGTTGAACGCACACATCACAAAGTAGTTGTTGAGAATGATTCTGTGTAGTTTTTATACGAAGATATTTCCTTTTCTGCCATAGGCCTAGAAGCGCTTGCAATCTGCACTTGCAAATTCCAAAAACAGAGTGTTTCAAATCTGCTCTCTCTAAAGGAAGGTTCAAATCTGTGAGTTGAATACAAACAACACAAAGAAGTTACTGAGAATTCTTCTGTCTAGCATTATAAGAGGAAATCCCGTTTCCAACGAAGGGCTCATAGAGGGACAATTATCCAGCTGCAGACTTACAAAGAGTGTATTTCCAAACTGCTCGATTAAAGAAAGGTTAAACTCTGTGAGTTGAACACACACATCACAAAGTGTTTTCTGAGAATGATTTTGTCTAGTTTTAATACGAAGATGTATCCTTTTCTACCACTGTCTTCGAAGCGTTTGAAATCTGCACTAGCAAATTCCACAAAAAGAGTGTTTCAACTCTGCTCTCTCTCAAGAAAGGTTCAACTCTGTGAGTGGAATACACACAACACAAAGAAGTTACTGAGAATTCTTCTGTCTAGCGTTGTATGAAGAAATCCCGTTTCCAACGAAGGCCTCAAAGAGGTCCAAATATCCACTTGCAGACTTTACAAATAGAGTGTTTCTAAACTGCTCTATGAAAAGAAAGGTTAAACTCTGTGAGTTGAAGGCACACATCACAAACTAGTTTCTACGAATGACTCTGTGTACTTTTAATATGAAGATATTTCCATGTCTAAGATTGGCGTCAAATCGCTTGAAATCTCCACTTGCAAATTCCACAAAAAGTGTTTTTCAAAACTGCTCTGAATAAAGGAAGGTTCCACTCTGTGAGTTGAATACACACAACACAAAGGATTTACTGAGAATTCTTCTGTCTAGCAGTAAATGAGAAATCCCGCTTCCAACGAAGGCCTCAAAGGGGTCTAACTAATCACTTGCAGACTTTACAGACAGAGTCTTTCCAAACTGCTCTATGAAGAGAAAGGTGAAACTCTGTGAACTGAACGCACAGATGACAAAGCAGTTTCTGAGAATGATTCTGTGTAGTTTTTACACGAAGATATTTCCATTTCAAAGATTAGCCTCAAATCGCTTGAAATCTCCACTTGCAAACTCCACAGAAAGAATTTTTCAAAACTGCTCTGTCTAAAGGAAGGTTCAACTCTGTGACTTGAATACACACAACACAAAGAAGTGACTGAGAATTCTTCTGTCTAGCATTATATGAAGAAATCCCGTTTCCAACGAAGGCCTCAATGAAGTCCAAAAAAGCACTTGCAGGCTTTACAAACAGAGTGTTTCCAAACTGCTCTATGAAAAGAAAGGTTAAACTCTGTGAGTTGAACGCACACATCACAAAGTAGTTGTTGAGAATGATTCTGTGTAGTTTTTATACGAAGATATTTCCTTTTCTGCCATAGGCCTAGAATCGCTTGAAATCTGCAGTTGCAAATTCCAAAAACAGAGTGTTTCAACTCTGCTCTCTCTAAAGAAAGGTTCAACTCTGTGAGTTAAATACACACAACACAAAGAAGTTACTGAGAATTCTTCTGTCTAGCGTTATATGAAGAAATCCCGTTTCCAACGAAGGCCTCAAAGAGGTCCAAATATCCACTTGCAGACTTTACAAATAGAGTGTTTCCCAACTGCTCTATGAAAAGAAAGGTTAAACTCTGTGAGTTGAAGGCACACATCACAAACTAGTTTCTACGAATGACTCTGTGTACTTTTAATATGAAGATATTTCCATGTCTAAGATTGGCGTCAAATCGCTTGAAATCTCCACTTGCAAATTCCACAAAAAGTGTTTTTCAAAACTGCTCTGAATAAAGGAAGGTTCCACTCTGTGAGTTGAATACACACAACACAAAGGATTTACTGAGAATTCTTCTGTCTAGCAGTAAATGAGAAATCCCGCTTCCAACGAAGGCCTCAAAGGGGTCTAACTAATCACTTGCAGACTTTACAGACAGAGTCTTTCCAAACTGCTCTATGAAGAGAAAGGTGAAACTCTGTGAACTGAACGCACAGATGACAAAGCAGTTTCTGAGAATGATTCTGTGTAGTTTTTACACGAAGATATTTCCATTTCAAAGATTAGCCTCAAATCGCTTGAAATCTCCACTTGCAAATTACACAGAAAGAATTTTTCAAAACTGCTCAGTCTAAAGGAAGGTTCAACTCTGTGACTTGAATACACACAACACAAAGAAGTGACTGAGAATTCTTCTGTCTAGCATTATATGAAGAAATCCCGTTTCCAACGAAGGCCTCAATGAAGTCCAAAAAAGCACTTGCAGGCTTTACAAACAGAGTGTTTCCAAACTGCTCTATGAAAAGAAAGGTTAAACTCTGTGAGTTGAACGCACACATCTCAAAGTAGTTGTTGAGAATGATTCTGTGTAGTTTTTATACGAAGATATTTCCATTTCAAAGATTAGCCTCAAATCGCTTGAAATCTCCACTTGCAAATTCCACAGAAAGAATTTTTCAAAACTGCTCTGTCTAAAGGAAGGTTCACCTCTGTGACTTCAATACAAACAACACAAAGAAGTGACTGAGAATTCTTCTGTCTAGCATTATATGAAGAAATCCCGTTTCCAACGAAGGCCTCAATGAAGTCCAAAAAAGCACTTGCAGGCTTTACAAACAGAGTGTTTCCAAACTGCTCTATGAAAAGAAAGGTTAAACTCTGTGAGTTGAACGCACACATCACAAAGTAGTTGTTGAGAATGATTCTGTGTAGTTTTTATACGAAGATATTTCCTTTTCTGCCATAGGCCTAGAATCGCTTGAAATCTGCACTTGCAAATTCCAAAAACAGAGTGTTTCAACTCTGCTCTCTCTAAAGAAAGGTTCAACTCTGTGAGTTGAATACACACAACACAAAGAAGTTACTGAGAATTCTTCTGTCTAGCGTTGTATGAAGAAATCCCGTTTCCAACGAAGGCCTCAAAGAGGTCCAAATATCCACTTGCAGACTTTACAAATAGAGTGTTTCCAAACTGCTCTATGAAAAGAAAGGTTAAACTCTGTGAGTTGAAGGCACACATCACAAACTAGTTTTTACGAATGACTCTGTGTACTTTTAATATGAAGATATTTCCATGTCTAAGATTGGCGTCAAATCGCTTGAAATCTCCACTTGCAAATTCCACAAAAAGTGTTTTTCAAAAGTGCTCTGAATAAAGGAAGGTTCCACTCTGTGAGTTGAATACACACAACACAAAGGATTTACTGAGAATTCTTCTGTCTAGCAGTAAATGGGAAATCCCGCTTCCAACGAAGGCCTCAAAGGGGTCTAACTAATCACTTGCGGACTTAACAGACAGAGTCTTTCCAAACTGCTCTCTGAAGAGAAAGGTTAAACTCTGTGAACTGAACGCACATATAACAAAGCAGTTTCTGAGAATGATTCTGTGTAGTTTTTACACGAAGATATTTCCATTTCAAAGATTAGCCTCAAATCGCTTGAAATCTCCACTTGCAAATTCCACAGAAAGAATTTTTCAAAACTGCTCTGTCTAAAAGAAGGTTCAACTCTGTGACTTGAATACACACAACACAAAGAAGTGACTGAGAATTCTTCTGTCTAGCATTATATGAAGAAATCCCGTTTCCAACGAAGGCGTCAATGAAGTCCAAAAAAGCACTTGCAGGCTTTACAAACAGAGTGTTTCCAAACTGCTCTATGAAAAGAAAGGTTAAACTCTGTGAGTTCAACGCACACATCACAAAGTAGTTGTTGAGAATGATTTCTGTGTAGTTTTTATACGAAGATATTTCCTTTTCTGCCATAGGCCTAGAATCGCTTGAAATCTGCACTTGCAAATTCCAAAAACAGAGTGTTTCAACTCTGCTCTCTCTAAAGAAAGGTTCAACTCTGTGAGTTGAATACACACAACACAAAGAAGTTACTGAGAATTCTTCTGTCTAGCATTATATGAGGAAATCCCGTTTCCAACGAAGGCCTCAAAGAGGTCCAAATATCCACTTGCAGACTTTACAAATAGAGTGTTTCCAAACTGCTCTATGAAAAGAAAGGTTAAACTCTGTGAGTTGAAGGCACACATCACAAACTAGTTTCTACGAATGACTCTGTGTACTTTTAATATGAAGATATTTCCATGTCTAAGATTGGCGTCAAATCGCTTGAAATCTCCACTTGCAAATTCCACAAAAAGTGTTTTTCAAAACTGCTCTGAATAAAGGAAGGTTCCACTCTGTGAGTTGAATACACACAACACAAAGGATTTACTGAGAATTCTTCTGTCTAGCAGTAAATGAGAAATCCCGCTTCCAACGAAGGCCTCAAAGGGGTCTAACTAATCACTTGCAGACTTTACAGACAGAGTCTTTCCAAACTGCTCTATGAAGAGAAAGGTGACACTCTGTGAACTGAACGCACAGATAACAAAGCAGTTTCTGAGAATGATTCTGTGTAGTTTTTACACGAAGCTATTTCCATTTCAAAGTATTAGCCTCAAATCGCTTGAAATCTCCACTTGCAAATTCCACAGAAAGAGTTTTTCAAAACTGCTCTGTGTAAAGGAAAGTTCAACTCTGTGACTTGAATACACACAACACAAAGAAGTGACTGAGAATTCTTCTGTCTAGCATTATATGAAGAACTCCCGTTTCCAACGAAGGCCTCAAAGAAGTCCAAATAAGCACTTGCAGACTTTACAAACAAAGTGTTTCCAAACTGCTCTATGAAAAGAAAGGTTAAACTCTGTGAGTTGAACTCACACATCACAAAGTAGTTGTTGAGAATGATTCTGTGTAGTTTTTATACGAAGATATTTCCTTTGCTGCCATAGGCCTAGAAGCGCTTGAAATCTGCACTTGCAAATTCCAAAAACAGAGTGTTTCAAATCTGCTCTCTCTAAAGGAAGGTTCAAATCTGTGTGTTGAATACAAACAACACAAAGAAGTTACTGAGAATTCTTCTGTCTAGCATTATATGAGGAAATCCCGTTTCCAACGAAGGGCTCAAAGAGGGCCAAATATCCACCTGCAGACTTACAAAGAGTGTATTTCCAAACTGCTCGATTAAAGAAAGGTTAAACTCTGTGAGTTGAACACACACATCACAAAGAGTTTTCTGAGAATGATTCTGTGTAGTTTTTATACGAAGATATTTCCTTTTCTGCCATAGGCCAAGTAATCGCTTGAAATCTGCAGTTGCAAATTCCACAAAAAGAGTGTCTCACCTCTGCTCCCTCTAAAGAAAGGTTCAACTCTGTGAGTTGAATACACACAACACAAAGAAGTTACTGAGAATTCTTCTGTCTAGCGTTATATGAAGAAATCCCGTTTCCAACGAAGGCCTCAAAGAGGTCCAAATATCCACTTGCAGACTTTACAAATAGAGTGTTTCCCAACTGCTCTATGAAAAGAAAGGTTAAACTCTGTGAGTTGAAGGCACACATCACACACTAGTTTCTACGAATGACTCTGTGTACTTTTAATATGAAGATATTTCCATGTCTAAGATTGGCGTCAAATCGCTTGAAATCTCCACTTGCAAATTCCACAAAAAGTGTTTTTCAAAACTGCTCTGAATAAAGGAAGGTTCCACTCTGTGAGTTGAATACACACAACACAAAGGATTTACTGAGAATTCTTCTGTCTAGCAGTAAATGAGAAATCCCGCTTCCAACGAAGGCCTCAATGGGGTCTAACTAATCACTTGCAGACTTTACAGAGTCTTTCCAAACTGCTCTATGAAGAGAAAGGTGAAACTCTGTGAACTGAACGCACAGATAACAAAGCAGTTTCTGAGAATGATTCTGTGTAGTTTTTACACGAAGATATTTCCATTTCAAAGATTAGCCTCAAATCTCTTAAAATCTCCAATTGCAAATTCCACAGAAAGAATTTTTCAAAACTGCTCTGTCTAAAAGAAGGTTCAACTCTGTGACTTGAATACACACAACACAAAGAAGTGACTGAGAATTCTTCTGTCTAGCATTATATGAAGAAATCCCGTTTCCAACGAAGGCCTCAATGAAGTCCAAAAAAGCACTTGCAGGCTTTACAAACAGAGTGTTTCCAAACTGCTCTATGAAAAGAAAGTTTAAACTCTGTGAGTTGAACGCACACATCACAAAGTAGTTGTTGAGAATGATTCTGTGTAGTTTTTATACGAAGATATTTCCTTTTCTGCCATAGGCCTAGAATCGCTTGAAATCTGCACTTGCAAATTCCAAAAACAGAGTGTTTCAACTCTGCTCTCTCTAAAGAAAGGTTCAACTCTGTGAGTTGAATACACAAAACACAAAGAAGTAACTGAGAATTCTTCTGTCTAGCGTTGTATGAAGAAATCCCGTTTCCAACGAAGGCCTCAAAGGAGGTCCAAATATCCACTTGCAGACTTTACAAATAGAGTGTTTCCAAACTGCTCTATGAAAAGAAAGGTTAAACTCTGTGAGTTGAAGGCACACATCACAAACTAGTTTTTACGAATGACTCTGTGTACTTTTAATATGAAGATATTTCCATGTCTAAGATTGGCGTCAAATCGCTTGAAATCTCCACTTGCAAATTCCACAAAAAGAGTCTTTCAAAACTGCTCTGAATAAAGGAAGGTTCCACTCTGTGAGTTGAATACACACAACACAAAGGATTTACTGAGAATTCTTCTGTCTAGCATTATATGAAGAAATCCCGTTTCCAACGAAGGCCTCAATGAAGTCCAAAAAAGCACTTGCAGGCTTTACAAACAGAGTGTTTCCAAACTTCTCTATGAAAAGAAAGGTTAAACTTTGTGAGTTGAACGCACACATCACAAAGTAGTTGTTGAGAATGATTCTGTGTAGTTTTTATACGAAGATATTTCCTTTTCTGCCATAGGCCTAGAAGCGCTTGAAATCTGCACTTGCAAATTCCAAAAACAGAGTGTTTCAACTCTGCTCTCTCTAAAGAAAGGTTCAACTCTGTGAGTTGAATACACACAACACAAAGAAGTTACTGAGAATTCTTCTGTCTAGCGTTATATGAAGAAATCCCGTTTCCAACGAAGGCCTCAAAGTGGTCCAAATATCCACTTGCAGACTTTACAAATAGAGTGTTTCCAAACTGCTCTATGAAAAGAAAGGTTAAACTCTGTGAGTTGAAGGCACACATCACAAACTAGTTTCTGCGAATGACTCTGTGTACTTTTAATACGAAGATATTTCCATGTCTAAGATTGGCGTGAATTCGCTTGAAATCTCCACTTGCAAATTCCACAAAGAGTGTTTCAAAACTGCTCTGAATAAAGGAAGGTTCCACTCTGTGAGTTGAATACACACAACACAAAGGATTTACTGAGAATTCTTCTGTCTAGCAGTAAATGAAAAAATCCCGCTTCCAACGAAGTCCTCAAAGGGGTCCAAGTAATCACTTGCAGACTTTACAGACAGAGTCTTTCCAAACTGCTCTATGAAAAGAAAGGTGGAACTCTGTGAGCTGAACGCACACATAACAAAGCAGTTTCTGAGAATGATTCTGTGTAGCTTTTACACGAAGATATTTCCATTTGAAAGATTAGCCTCAAATCGCTTGAAATCTCCACTTGCAAATTCCACAGAAAGAGTTTTTCAAAACTGCTCTGTCTAAAAGAAGGTTCAACTCTGTGACTTGAATACACACAACACAAAAAAGTAACTGAGAATTCTTCTGTCTAACATTATAAGAGGAAATCCCGTTTCCAACGAAGGGCTCATAGAGGGACAATTATCCAGCTGCAGACTTACAAAGAGTGTATTTCCAAACTGCTCGATTAAAGAAAGGTTAAACTCTGTGAGTTGAACACACACATCACAAAGTGTTTTCTGAGAATGATTTTGTCTAGTTTTAATACGAAGATATATCCTTTTCTATCACTGTCTTCGAAGCGTTTGAAATCTGCACTAGCAAATTCCACAGAAAGAGTGTTTCAACTCTGCTCTCTCTCAAGAAAGGTTCAACTCTGTGAGTGGAATACACACAACACAAAGAAGTTACTGAGAATTCTTCTGTCTAGCGTTATATGAAGAAATCCCGTTTCCAACGAAGGCCTCAAAGAGGTCCAAATATCCACTTGCAGACTTTACAAAGAGAGTGTTTCCAGACTGCTCTATGAAAAGAAAGGTTAAACTCCGTGAGTTGAAGGCACGCATCACAAACTAGTTTCTGCGAATGACTCTGTGTACTTTTAATACGAAGATGTTTCCATGTCTAAGATTGGCGTGAATTCGCTTGAAATCTCCACTTGCAATTTCCACAAAAAGAGTGTTTCAAAACTGCTCTGAATAAAGGAAGGTTCCACTCTGTGAGTTGAATACACACAACACAAAGGATTTACTGAGAATTCTTCTGTCTAGCAGTAAATGAGAAATCCCGCTTCCAACGAAGGCCTCAAAGGGGTCTAACTAATCACTTGCAGACTTTAAAGACAGAGTCTTTCCAAACTGCTCTATGAAGAGAAAGGTGAAACTCTGTGAACTGAACGCACAGATGACAAAGCAGTTTCTGAGAATGATTCTGTGTAGTTTTTACACGAAGATATTTCCATTTCAAAGATTAGCCTCAAATCGCTTGAAATCTCCACTTGCAAACTCCACAGAAAGAATTTTTCAAAACTGCTCTGTCTAAAGGAAGGTTCAACTCTGTGACTTGAATACACACAACACAAAGAAGTGACTGAGAATTCTTCTGTCTAGCATTATATGAAGAAATCCCGTTTCCAACGAAGGCCTCAATGAAGTCCAAAAAAGCACTTGCAGGCTTTACAAACAGAGTGTTTCCAAACTGCTCTATGAAAAGAAAGGTTAAACTCTGTGAGTTGAACGCACACATCACAAAGTAGTTGTTCAGAATGATTCTGTGTAGTTTTTATACGAAGATATTTCCTTTTCTGCCATAGGCCTAGAATCGCTTGAAATCTGCACTTGCAAATTCCAAAAACAGAGTGTTTCAACTCTGCTCTCTCTAAAGAAAGGTTCAACTCTGTGAGTTGAATACACACAACACAAAGAAGTTACTGAGAATTCTTCTGTCTAGCGTTGTATGAAGAAATCCCGTTTCCAAAGAAGGCCTCAATGAAGTCCAACAAAGCACTTGCAGGCTTTACAAACAGAGTGTTTCCAAACTGCTCTATGAAAAGAAAGGTTAAACTCTGTGAGTTGAACGCACACATCACAAAGTAGTTGTTGAGAATGATTCTGTGTAGTTTTTATACGAAGATATTTCCTTTTCTGCCATATGCCTAGAAGCGCTTGAAATCTGCACTTGCAAATTCCAAAAACAGAGTGTTTCAAATCTGCTCTCTCTAAAGGAAGGTTCAAATCTGTGTGTTGAATACAAACAACACAAAGAAGTTACTGAGAATTCTTCTGTCTAGCAGTAAATGAGAAATCCCGCTTCCAACGAAGGCCTCAAAGGGGTCTAACTAATCACTTGCAGACTTTACAGACAGAGTCTTTCCAAACTGCTCTATGAAGAGAAAGGTGAAACTGTGTGAACTGAACGCACAGATGACAAAGCAGTTTCTGAGAATGATTCTGTGTAGTTTTTACACGAAGATATTTCCATTTCAAAGATTAGCCTCAAATCGCTTGAAATCTCCACTTGCAAACTCCACAGAAAGAATTTTTCAAAACTGCTCTGTCTAAAGGAAGGTTCAACTCTGTGACTTGAATACACACAACACAAAGAAGTGACTGAGAATTCTTCTGTCTAGCATTATAAGAGGAAATCCTGTTTCCAACGAAGGGCTCATAGAGGGACAATTATCCAGCTGCAGACTTACAAAGAGTGTATTTCCAAACTGCTCGATTAAAGAAAGGTTAAACTCTGTGAGTTGAACACACACATCACAAAGTGTTTTCTGAGAATGATTTTGTCTAGTTTTAATACGAAGATATATCCTTTTCTATCACTGTCTTCGAAGCGTTTGAAATCTGCACTAGCAAATTCCACAAACAGAGTGTTTCAACTCTGCTCTCTCTCAAGGAAGCTTCAACTCTGTGAGTGGAATACACACAACACAAAGAAGTTACTGAGAATTCTTCTGTCTAGCGTTATATGAAGAAATCCCGTTTCCAACGAAGGCCTCAAAGAGGTCCAAATATCCACTTGCAGACTTTACAAATAGAGTGTTTCCAAACTGCTCTATGAAAAGAAAGGTTAAACTCCGTGAGTTGAAGGCACACATCACAAACTAGTTTCTGCGAATGACTCTGTGTACTTTTAATACGAAGATGTTTCCATGTCTAAGATTGGCGTGAATTCGCTTGAAATCTCCACTTGCAAATTCCACAAAAAGAGTGTTTCAAAACTGCTCTGAATAAAGGAAGGTTCCACTCTGTGAGTTGAATACACACAACACAAAGGATTTACTGAGAATTCTTCTGTCTAGCAGTAAATGAAAAAATCCCGCTTCCAACGAAGTCCTCAAAGGGGTCCAAGTAATCACTTGCAGACTTTACAGACAGAGTCTTTCCAAACTGCTCTATGAAAAGAAAGGTGGAACTCTGTGAGCTGAACGCACACATAACAAAGAAGTTTCTGAGAATGATTCTGTGTAGTTTTTACACGAAGATATTTCCATTTCAAAGATTAGCCTCAAATCGCTTGAAATCTCCACTTGCAAATTCCACAGAAAGAGTTTTTCAAAACTGCTCTGTGTAAAGGAAGGTTCAACTCTGTGACTTGAATACACACAACACAAAGAAGTGACTGAGAATTCTTCTGTCTAGCATTATATGAAGAAATCCCGTTTCCAACGAAGGCCTCAATGAAGTCCAAAAAAGCACTTGCAGGCTTTACAAACAGAGTGTTTCCAAACTGCTCTATGAAAAGAAAGGTTAAACTCTGTGAGTTGAATGCACACATCACAAAGTAGTTGTTCGAGAATGATTCTGTGTAGTTTTTATACGAGGATATTTCCTTTTCTGCCATAGGCCTAGAAGCGCTTGAAATCTGAACTTGCAAATTCCAAAAACAGAGTGTTTCAACTCTGCTCTCTCTAAAGAAAGGTTCAACTCTGTGAGTTGAATACACACAACACAAAGAAGTTACTGAGAATTCTTCTGTCTAGCGTTGTATGAAGAAATCCCGTTTCCAACGAAGGCCTCAATGAAGTCCAAAAAAGCACTTGCAGGCTTTACAAACAGAGTGTTTCCAAACTGCTCTATGAAAAGAAAGGTTAAACTCTGTGAGTTGAACACACACATCACAAAGAGTTTCCTGAGAATGATTTTGTCTACTTTTAATACGAAGATATATCCTTTTCTATCACTGTCTTCGAAGCGTTTGAAATCTACACTAGCAAATTCCACAAAAAGAGTGTTTCACCTCTGCTCCCTCTAAAGAAAGGTTCAACTCTGTGAGTTGAATACACACAACACAAAGAAGTTACTGAGAATTCTTCTGTCTAGCGTTATATGAAGAAATCCCGTTTCCAACGAAGGCCTCAAAGAAGGTCCAAATATCCACTTGCAGACTTTACAAATAGAGTGTTTCCCAACTGCTCTATGAAAAGAAAGGTTAAACTCTGTGAGTTGAAGGCACACATCACAAACTAGTTTCTACGAATGACTCTGTGTACTTTTAATATGAAGATATTTCCATGTCTAAGATTGGCGTCAAATCGCTTGAAATCTCCACTTGCAAATTCCACAAAAAGAGTGTTTCAAAACTGCTCTGAATAAAGGAAGGTTCCACTCTGTGAGTTGAATACACACAACACAAAGGATTTACTGAGAATTCTTCTGTCTAGCAGTAAATGAGAAATCCCGCTTCCAACGAAGGCCTCAAAGGGGTCTAACTAATCACTTGCAGACTTTACAGACAGAGTCTTTCCAAACTGCTCTATGAAGAGAAAGGTGAAACTCTGTGAACTGAACGCACAGATGACAAAGCAGTTTCTGAGAATGATTCTGTGTAGTTTTTACACGAAGATATTTCCATTTCAAAGATTAGCCTCAAATCGCTTGAAATCTCCACTTGCAAACTCCACAGAAAGAATTTTTCAAAACTGCTCTGTCTAAAGGAAGGTTCAACTCTGTGACTTGAATACACACAACACAAAGAAGTGACTGAGAATTCTTCTGTCTAGCATTATATGAAGAAATCCCGTTTCCAACGAAGGCCTCAATGAAGTCCAAAAAAGCACTTGCAGGCTTTACAAACAGAGTGTTTCCAAACTGCTCTATGAAAAGAAAGGTTAAACTCTGTGAGTTGAACGCACACATCACAAAGTAGTTGTTGAGAATGATTCTGTGTAGTTTTTATACGAAGATATTTCCTTTTCTGCCATAGGCCTAGAAGCGCTTGAAATCTGCACTTGCAAATTCCAAAAACAGAGTGTTTCAAATCTGCTCTCTCTAAAGGAAGGTTCAAATCTGTGTGTTGAATACAAACAACACAAAGAAGTTACTGAGAATTCTTCTGTCTAGCATTATATGAGGAAATCCCGTTTCCAACGAAGGGCTCAAAGAGGGCCAAATATCCACCTGCAGACTTACAAAGAGTGTATTTCCAAACTGCTCGATTAAAGAAAGGTTAAACTCTGTGAGTTGAACACACACATCACAAAGAGTTTTCTGAGAATGATTTTGTCTACTTTTAATACGAAGATATATCCTTTTCTATCACTGTCTTCGAAGCGTTTGAAATCTACACTAGCAAATTCCACAAAAAGAGTGTTTCACCTCTGCTCCCTCTAAAGAAAGGTTCAACTCTGTGAGTTGAATACACACAACACAAAGAAGTTACTGAGAATTCTTCTGTCTAGCTTTATATGAAGAAATCCCGTTTCCAACGAAGGCCTCAAAGAGGTCCAAATATCCACTTGCAGACTTTACAAATAGAGTGTTTCCCAACTGCTCTATGAAAAGAAAGGTTAAACTCTGTGAGTTGAAGGCACACATCACAAACTAGTTTCTACGAATGACTCTGTGTACTTTTAATATGAAGATTTTTCCATGTCTAAGATTGGCGTCAAATCGCTTGAAATCTCCACTTGCAAATTCCACAAAAAGAGTGTTTCAAAACTGCTCTGAATAAAGGAAGGTTCCACTCTGTGAGTTGAATACACACAACACAAAGGATTTACTGAGAATTCTTCTGTCTAGCAGTAAATGAGAAATCCCGCTTCCAACGAAGGCCTCAAAGGGGTCTAACTAATCACTTGCAGACTTTACAGACAGAGTCTTTCCAAACTGCTCTATGAAGAGAAAGGTGAAACTCTGTGAACTGAACGCACAGATGACAAAGCAGTTTCTGAGAATGATTCTGTGTAGTTTTTACACGAAGATATTTCCATTTCAAAGATTAGCCTCAAATCGCTTGAAATCTCCACTTGCAAATTACACAGAAAGAATTTTTCAAAACTGCTCTGTCTAAAGGAAGGTTCAACTCTGTGACTTGAATACACACAACACAAAGAAGTGACTGAGAATTCTTCTGTCTAGCATTATATGAAGAAATCTCGTTTCCAACGAAGGCCTCAATGAAGTCCAAAAAAGCACTTGCAGGCTTTACAAACAGAGTGTTTCCAAACTGCTCTATGAAAAGAAAGGTTAAACTCTGTGAGTTGAACGCACACATCACAAAGTAGTTGTTGAGAATGATTCTGTGTAGTTTTTATACGAAGATATTTCCTTTTCTGCCATAGGCCTAGAATCGCTTGAAATCTGCAGTTGCAAATTCCAAAAACAGAGTGTTTCAACTCTGCTCTCTCTAAAGAAAGGTTCAACTCTGTGAGTTGAATACACACAACACAAAGAAGTTACTGAGAATTCTTCTGTCTAGCGTTGTATGAAGAAATCCCGTTTCCAACGAAGGCCTCAAAGAGGTCCAAATATCCACTTGCAGACTTTACAAATAGAGTGTTTCCAAACTGCTCTATGAAAAGAAAGGTTAAACTCTGTGAGTTGAAGGCACACATCACAAACTAGTTTCTACGAATGACTCTGTGTACTTTTAATATGAAGATATTTCCATGTCTAAGATTGGCGTCAAATCGCTTGAAATCTCCACTTGCAAATTCCACAAAAAGTGTTTTTCAAAACTGCTCTGAATAAAGGAAGGTTCCACTCTGTGAGTTGAATACACACAACACAAAGGATTTACTGAGAATTCTTCTGTCTAGCAGTAAATGAGAAATCCCGCTTCCAACGAAGGCCTCAAAGGGGTCTAACTAATCACTTGCAGACTTTACAGACAGAGTCTTTCCAAACTGCTCTATGAAGAGAAAGGTGAAACTCTGTGAACTGAACGCACAGATGACAAAGCAGTTTCTGAGAATGATTCTGTGTAGTTTTTACACGAAGATATTTCCATTTCAAAGATTAGCCTCAAATCGCTTGAAATCTCCACTTGCAAACTCCACAGAAAGAATTTTTCAAAACTGCTCTGTCTAAAGGAAGGTTCAACTCTGTGACTTGAATACACACAACACAAAGAAGTGACTGAGAATTCTTCTGTCTAGCATTATATGAAGAAATCCCGTTTCCAACGAAGGCCTCAATGAAGTCCAAAAAAGCACTTGCAGGCTTTACAAACAGAGTGTTTCCAAACTGCTCTATGAAAAGAAAGGTTAAACTCTGTGAGTTGAACGCACACATCACAAAGTAGTTGTTGAGAATGATTCTGTGTAGTTTTTATACGAAGATATTTCCTTTTCTGCCATAGGCCTAGAATCGCTTGAAATCTGCAGTTGCAAATTCCAAAAACAGAGTGTTTCAACTCTGCTCTCTCTAAAGAAAGGTTCAACTCTGTGAGTTAAATACACACAACACAAAGAAGTTACTGAGAATTCTTCTGTCTAGCGTTGTATGAAGAAATCCCGTTTCCAACGAAGGCCTCAAAGAGGTCCAAATATCCACTTGCAGACTTTACAAATAGAGTGTTTCCAAACTGCTCTATGAAAAGAAAGGTTAAACTCTGTGAGTTGAAGGCACACATCACAAACTAGTTTCTACGAATGACTCTGTGTACTTTTAATATGAAGATATTTCCATGTCTAAGATTGGCGTCAAATCGCTTGAAATCTCCACTTGCAAATTCCACGAAAAGTGTTTTTCAAAACTGCTCTGAATAAAGGAAGGTTCCACTCTGTGAGTTGAATACACACAACACAAAGGATTTACTGAGAATTCTTCTGTCTAGCAGTAAATGAGAAATCCCGCTTCCAACGAAGGCCTCAAAGGGGTCTAACTAATCACTTGCAGACTTTACAGACAGAGTCTTTCCAAACTGCTCTATGAAGAGAAAGGTGAAACTCTGTGAACTGAACGCACAGATGACAAAGCAGTTTCTGAGAATGATTCTGTGTAGTTTTTACACGAAGATATTTCCATTTCAAAGATTAGCCTCAAATCGCTTGAAATCTCCACTTGCAAACTCCACAGAAAGAATTTTTCAAAACTGCTCTGTCTAAAGGAAGGTTCAACTCTGTGACTTGAATACACACAACACAAAGAAGTGACTGAGAATTCTTCTGTCTAGCATTACATGAAGAAATCCCGTTTCCAACGAAGGCCTCAATGAAGTCCAAAAAAGCACTTGCAGGCTTTACAAACAGAGTGTTTCCAAACTGCTCTATGAAAAGAAAGGTTAAACTCTGTGAGTTGAACGCACACATCACAAAGTAGTTGTTGAGAATGATTCTGTGTAGTTTTTATACGAAGATATTTCCTTTTCTGCCATAGGCCTAGAATCGCTTGAAATCTGCACTTGCAAATTCCAAAAACAGAGTGTTTCAACTCTGCTCTCTCTAAAGAAAGGTTCAACTCTGTGAGTTGAATACACACAACACAAAGAAGTTACTGAGAATTCTTCTGTCTAGCGTTGTATGAAGAAATCCCGTTTCCAACGAAGGCCTCAATGAAGTCCAAAGAAGCACTTGCAGGCTTTACAAACAGAGTGTTTCCAAACTGCTCTATGAAAAGAAAGGTTAAACTCTGTGAGTTGAACACACACATCACAAAGAGTTTTCTGAGAATGATTCTGTGTACTTTTAATATGAAGATATTTCCATGTCTAAGATTGGCGTCAAATCGCTTGAAATCTCCACTTGCAAATTCCACAAAAAGTGTTTTTCAAAACTGCTCTGAATAAAGGAAGGTTCCACTCTGTGAGTTGAATACACTCAACACAAAGGATTTACTGAGAATTCTCCTGTCTAGCAGTAAATGAGAAATCCCGCTTCCAACGAAGGCCTCAAAGGGGTCTAACTAATCACTTGCAGACTTTACAGACAGAGTCTTTCCAAACTGCTCTATGAAGAGAAAGGTGAAACTCTGTGAACTGAACGCACAGATGACAAAGCAGTTTCTGAGAATGATTCTGTATAGTTTTTACACGAAGATATTTCCATTTCAAAGATTAGCCTCAATTCGCTTGAAATCTCCACTTGCAAACTCCACAGAAAGAATTTTTCAAAACTACTCTGTCTAAAGGAAGGTTCAACTCTGTGACTTGAATACACACAACACAAAGAAGTGACTGAGAATTCTTCTGTCTAGCATTATATGAAGAAATCCCGTTTCCAACGAAGGCCTCAATGAAGTCCAAAAAAGCACTTGCAGGCTTTACAAACAGAGTGTTTCCAAACTGCTCTATGAAAAGAAAGGTTAAACTCTGGGAGTTGAACGCACACATCACAAAGTAGTTGTTGAGAATGATTCTGTGTAGTTTTTATACGAAGATATTTCCTTTTCTGCCATAGGCCTAGAAGCGCTTGAAATCTGCACTTGCAAATTCCAAAAACAGAGTGTTTCAAATCTGCTCTCTCTAAAGGAAGGTTCAAATCTGTGAGTTGAATACAAACAACACAAAGAAGTTACTGAGAATTCTTCTGTCTAGCATTATATGAGGAAATCCCGTTTCCAACGAAGGGCTCAAAGAGGGCCAATTATCCACCTGCAGACTTACAAAGAGTGTATTTCCAAACTGCTCGATTAAAGAAAGGTTAAACTCTGTGAGTTGAACACACACATCACAAAGTGTTTTCTGAGAATGATTTTGTCTAGTTTTAATACGAAGATATATCCTTTTCTATCACTGTCTTCGAAGCGTTTGAAATCTGCACTAGCAAATTCCACAAAAAGAGTGTTTCAACTCTGCTCTCTCTAAAGAAAGGTTCAACTCTGTGAGTTGAATACACACAACACAAAGAAGTTACTGAGAATTCTTCTGTCTAGCGTTATATGAAGAAATCCCGTTTCCAACGAAGGCCTCAAAGAGGTCCAAATATCCACTTGCAGACTTTACAAATAGAGTGTTTCCCAACTGCTCTATGAAAAGAAAGGTTAAACTCTGTGAGTTGAAGGCACACATCACAAACTAGTTTCTACGAATGACTCTGTGTACTTTTAATATGAAGATATTTCCATGTCTAAGATTGGCATCAAATCGCTTGAAATCTCCACTTGCAAATTCCACAAAAAGAGTGTTTGAAAACTGCTCTGAATAAAGGAAGGTTCCACTCTGTGAGTTGAATACACACAACACAAAGGATTTACTGAGAATTCTTCTGTCTAGCAGTAAATGAGAAATCCCGCTTCCAACGAAGGCCTCAAAGGGGTCTAACTAATCACTTGCAGACTTTACAGACAGAGTCTTTCCAAACTGCTGTATGAAGAGAAAGGTGAAACTCTGTGAACTGAACGCACAGATGACAAAGCAGTTTCTGAGAATGATTCTGTGTAGTTTTTACACGAAGATATTTCCATTTCAAAGATTAGCCTCAAATCGCTTGAAATCTCCACTTGCAAATTCCACAGAAAGAATTTTTCAAAACTGCTCTGTCTAAAGGAAGGTTCAACTCTGTGACTTGAATACACACAACACAAAGAAGTGACTGAGAATTCTTCTGTCTAGCATTATATGAAGAAATCCCGTTTCCAACGAAGGCCTCAATGAAGTCCAAAAAAGCACTTGCAGGCTTTACAAACAGAGTGTTTCCAAACTGCTCTATGAAAAGAAAGGTTAAACTCTGTGAGTTGAACGCACACATCACAAAGTAGTTGTTGAGAATGATTCTGTGTAGTTTTTATACGAAGATATTTCCTTTTCTGCCATAGGCCTAGAAGCGCTTGAAATCTGCACTTGCAAATTCCAAAAACAGAGTGTTTCAAATCTGCTCTCTCTAAAGGAAGGTTCAAATCTGTGAGTTGAATACAAACAAAACAAAGAAGTTACTGAGAATTCTTCTGTCTAGCATTATATGAGGAAATCCCGTTTCCAACGAAGGGCTCAAAGAGGGCCAAATATCCACCTGCAGACTTACAAAGAGTGTATTTCCAAACTGCTCGATTAAAGAAAGGTTAAACTCTGTGAGTTGAACACACACATCACAACGAGTTTTCTGAGAATGATTTTGTCTACTTTTAATACGAAGATATATCCTTTTCTATCACTGACTTCGAAGCGTTTGAAATCTACACTAGCAAATTCCACAAAAAGACTGTTTCACCTCTGCTCCCTCTAAAGAAAGGTTCAACTCTGTGAGTTGAATACACACAACACAAAGAAGTTACTGAGAATTCTTCTGTCTAGCGTTATATGAAGAAATCCCGTTTCCAACGAAGGCCTCAAAGAGGTCCAAATATCCACTTGCAGACTTTACAAATAGAGTGTTTCCCAACTGCTCTATGAAAAGAAAGGTTAAACTCTGTGAGTTGAAGGCACACATCACAAACTAGTTTCTACGAATGACTCTGTGTACTTTTAATATGAAGATATTTCCATGTCTAAGATTGGCGTCAAATCGCTTGAAATCTCCACTTGCAAATTCCACAAAAAGTGTTTTTCAAAACTGCTCTGAATAAAGGAAGGTTCCACTCTGTGAGTTGAATACACACAACACAAAGGATTTACTGAGAATTCTTCTGTCTAGCAGTAAATGAGAAATCCCGCTTCCAACGAAGGCCTCAAAGGGGTCTAACTAATCACTTGCAGACTTTACAGACAGAGTCTTTCCAAACTGCTCTATGAAGAGAAAGGTGAAACTCTGTGAACTGAACGCACAGATGACAAAGCAGTTTCTGAGAATGATTCTGTGTAGTTTTTACACGAAGATATTTCCATTTCAAAGATTAGCCTCAAATCGCTTGAAATCTCCACTTGCAAATTACACAGAAAGAATTTTTCAAAACTGCTCTGTCTAAAGGAAGGTTCAACTCTGTGACTTGAATACACACAACACAAAGAAGTGACTGAGAATTCTTCTGTCTAGCGTTGTATGAAGAAATCCCGTTTCCAACGAAGGCCTCAATGAAGTCCAAAAAAGCACTTGCAGGCTTTACAAACAGAGTGTTTCCAAACTGCTCTATGAAAAGAAAGGTTAAACTCTGTGAGTTGAACACACACATCACAAAGAGTTTTCTGAGAATGATTTTGTCTACTTTTAATACGAAGATATATCCTTTTCTATCACTGTCTTCGAAGCGTTTGAAATCTACACTAGCAAATTCCACAAAAAGAGTGTTTCACTTCTGCTCCCTCTAAAGAAAGGTTCAACTCTGTGAGTTGAATACACACAACACAAAGAAGTTACTGAGAATTCTTCTGTCTAGCGTTATATGAAGAAATCCCGTTTCCAACGAAGGCCTCAAAGAGGTCCAAATATCCACTTGCAGACTTTACAAATAGAGTGTTTCCCAACTGCTCTATGAAAAGAAAGGTTAAACTCTGTGAGTTGAAGGCACACATCACAAACTAGTTTCTACGAATGACTCTGTGTACTTTTAATATGAAGATTTTTCCATGTCTAAGATTGGCGTCAAATCGCTTGAAATCTCCACTTGCAAATTCCACAAAAAGTGTTTTTCAAAACTGCTCTGAATAAAGGAAGGTTCCACTCTGTGAGTTGAATACACACAACACAAAGGATTTACTGAGAATTCTTCTGTCTAGCAGTAAATGAGAAATCCCGCTTCCAACGAAGGCCTCAAAGGGGTCTAACTAATCACTTGCAGACTTTACAGACAGAGTCTTTCCAAACTGCTCTATGAAGAGAAAGGTGAAACTCTGTGAACTGAACGCACAGATGACAAAGCAGTTTCTGAGAATGCTTCTGTGTAGTTTTTACACGAAGATATTTCCATTTCAAAGATTAGCCTCAAATCGCTTGAAATCTCCACTTGCAAACTCCACAGAAAGAATTTTTCAAAACTGCTCTGTCTAAAGGAAGGTTCAACTCTGGGACTTGAATACACACAGCACAAAGAAGTGACTGAGAATTCTTCTGTCTAGCATTATATGAAGAAATCCCGTTTCCAACGAAGGCCTCAATGAAGTCCAAAAAAGCACTTGCAGGCTTTACAAACAGACTGTTTCCAAACTGCTCTATGAAAAGAAAGGTTAAACTCTGTGAGTTGAATGCACACATCACAAAGTAGTTGTTGAGAATGATTCTGTGTAGTTTTTATACGAAGATATTTCCTTTTCTGCCATAGGCCTAGAAGCGCTTGAAATCTGCACTTGCAAATTCCAAAAACAGAGTGTTTCAACTCTGCTCTCTCTAAAGAAAGATTCAACTCTGTGAGTTGAATACACACAACACAAAGAAGTTACTGAGAATTCTTCTGTCTAGCGTTGTATGAAGAAATCCCGTTTCCAACGAAGGCCTCAAAGAGGTCCAAATATCCACTTGCAGACTTTACAAATAGAGTGTTTCCAAACTGCTCTATGAAAAGAAAGGTTAAACTCTGTGAGTTGCAGGCACACATCACAAACTAGTTTTTACGAATGACCTGTGTACTTTTAATATGAAGATATTTCCATGTCTAAGATTGGCGTCAAATCGCTTGAAATCTCCACTTGCAAATTCCACAAAAAGAGTGTTTCAAAACTGCTCTGAATAAAGGAAGGTTCCACTCTGTGAGTTGAATACACACAACACAAAGGATTTACTGAGAATTCTTTCTGTCTAGCAGTAAATGAGAAATCCCGCTTCCAACGAAGGCCTCAAAGGGGTCTAACTAATCACTTGCAGACTTTACAGACAGAGTCTTTCCAAACTGCTCTATGAAGAGAAAGGTGAAACTCTGTGAACTGAACGCACAGATGACAAAGCAGTTTCTGAGAATGATTCTGTGTAGTTTTTACACGAAGATATTTCCATTTCAAAGATTAGCCTCAAATCGCTTGAAATCTCCACTTGCAAACTCCACAGAAAGAATTTTTCAAAACTGCTCTGTCTAAAGGAAGGTTCAACTCTGTGACTTGAATACACACAACACAAAGAAGTGACTGAGAATTCTTCTGTCTAGCATTATATGAAGAAATCCCGTTTCCAACGAAGGCCTCAATGAAGTCCAAAAAAGAACTTGCAGGCTTTACAAACAGAGTGTTTCCAAACTGCTCTATGAAAAGAAAGGTTAAACTCTGTGAGTTGAACGCACACATCACAAAGTAGTTGTTGAGAATGATTCTGTGTAGTTTTTATACGAAGATATTTCCTTTTCTGCCATAGGCCTAGAAGCGCTTGAAATCTGCACTTGCAAATTCCAAAAACAGAGTGTTTCAAATCTGCTCTCTCTAAAGGAAGGTTCAAATCTGTGTGTTGAATACAAACAACACAAAGAAGTTACTGAGAATTCTTCTGTCTAGCATTATATGAGGAAATCCCGTTTCCAACGAAGGGCTCAAAGAGGGCCAAATATCCACCTGCAGACTTACAAAGAGTGTATTTCCAAACTGCTCGATTAAAGAAAGGTTAAACTCTGTGAGTTGAACACACACATCACAAAGAGTTTTCTGAGAATGATTTTGTCTACTTTTAATACGAAGATATATCCTTTTCTATCACTGTCTTCGAAGCGTTTGAAATCTACACTAGCAAATTCCACAAAAAGAGTGTTTCACCTCTGCTCCCTCTAAAGAAAGGTTCAACTCTGTGAGTTGAATACACACAACACAAAGAAGTTACTGAGAATTCTTCTGTCTAGCGTTATATGAAGAAATCCCGTTTCCAACGAAGGCCTCAAAGAGGTCCAAATATCCACTTGCAGACTTTACAAATAGAGTGTTTCCCAACTGCTCTATGAAAAGAAAGGTTAAACTCTGTGAGTTGAAGGCACACATCACAAACTAGTTTCTACGAATGACTCTGTGTACTTTTAATATGAAGATATTTCCATGTCTAAGATTGGCGTCAAATCGCTTGAAATCTCCACTTGCAAATTCCACAAAAAGAGTGTTTCAAAACTGCTCTGAATAAAGGAAGGTTCCACTCTGTGAGTTGAATACACACAACACAAAGGATTTACTGAGAATTCTTCTGTCTAGCAGTAAATGAGAAATCCCGCTTCCAACGAAGGCCTCAAAGGGGTCTAACTAATCACTTGCAGACTTTACAGACAGAGTCTTTCCAAACTGCTCTATGAAGAGAAAGGTGAAACTCTGTGAACTGAACGCACAGATGACAAAGCAGTTTCTGAGAATGATTCTGTGTAGTTTTTACACGAAGATATTTCCATTTCAAAGATTAGCCTCAAATCGCTTGAAATCTCCACTTGCAAATTACACAGAAAGAATTTTTCAAAACTGCTCTGTCTAAAGGAAGGTTCAACTCTGTGACTTGAATACACACAACACAAAGAAGTGACTGAGAATTCTTCTGTCTAGCATTATATGAAGAAATCCCGTTTCCAACGAAGGCCTCAATGAAGTCCAAAAAAGCACTTGCAGGCTTTCCAAACAGAGTGTTTCCAAACTGCTCTATGAAAAGAAAGGTTAAACTCTGTGAGTTGAACGCACACATCACAAAGTAGTTGTTGAGAATGATTCTGTGTAGTTTTTATACGAAGATATTTCCTTTTCTGCCATAGGCCTAGAATCGCTTGAAATCTGCAGTTGCAAATTCCAAAAACAGAGTGTTTCAACTCTGCTCTCTCTAAAGAAAGGTTCAACTCTGTGAGTTGAATACACACAACACAAAGAAGTTACTGAGAATTCTTCTGTCTAGCGTTGTATGAAGAAATCCCGTTTCCAACGAAGGCCTCAAAGAGGTCCAAATATCCACTTGCAGACTTTACAAATAGAGTGTTTCCAAACTGCTCTATGAAAAGAAAGGTTAAACTCTGTGAGTTGAAGGCACACATCACAAACTAGTTTCTACGAATGACTCTGTGTACTTTTAATACGAAGATGTTTCCATGTCTAAGATTGGCGTGAATTCGCTTGAAATCTCCACTTGCAAATTCCACAAAAAGAGTGTTTCAAAACTGCTCTGAATAAAGGAAGGTTCCACTCTGTGAGTTGAATACACACAACACAAAGGATTTACTGAGAATTCTTCTGTCTAGCAGTAAATGAGAAATCCCGCTTCCAACGAAGGCCTCAAAGGGGTCTAACTAATCACTTGCAGACTTTACAGACAGAGTCTTTCCAAACTGCTCTATGAAGAGAAAGGTGAAACTCTGTGAACTGAACGCACAGATGACAAAGCAGTTTCTGAGAATGATTCTGTGTAGTTTTTACACGAAGATATTTCCATTTCAAAGATTAGCCTCAAATCGCTTGAAATCTCCACTTGCAAACTCCACAGAAAGAATTTTTCAAAACTGCTCTGTCTAAAGGAAGGTTCAACTCTGTGACTTGAATACACACAACACAAAGAAGTGACTGAGAATTCTTCTGTCTAGCATTATATGAAGAAATCCCGTTTCCAACGAAGGCCTCAATGAAGTCCAAAAAAGCACTTGCAGGCTTTACAAACAGAGTGTTTCCAAACTGCTCTATGAAAAGAAAGGTTAAACTCTGTGAGTTTAACGCACACATCACAAAGTAGTTGTTGAGAATGATTCTGTGTAGTTTTTATACGAAGATATTTCCTTTTCTGCCATAGGCCTAGAAGCGCTTGAAATCTGCACTTGCAAATTCCAAAAACAGAGTGTTTCAAATCTGCTCTCTCTAAAGGAAGGTTCAAATCTGTGAGTTGAATACAAACAACACAAAGAAGTTACTGAGAATTCTTCTGTCTAGCGTTATATGAAGAAATCCCGTTTCCAACGAAGGCCTCAAAGAGGTCCAAATATCCACTTGCAGACTTTACAAATAGAGTGTTTCCCAACTGCTCTATGAAAAGAAAGGTTAAACTCTGTGAGTTGAAGGCGCACATCACAAACTAGTTTCTACGAATGACTCTGTGTACTTTTAATGTGAAGATATTTCCATGTCTAAGATTGGCGTCAAATCGCTTGAAATCTCCACTTGCAAATTCCACAAAAAGAGTGTTTCAAAACTGCTCTGAATAAAGGAAGGTTCCACTCTGTGAGTTGAATACACACAACACAAAGGATTTACTGAGAATTCTTCTGTCTAGCAGTAAATGAGAAATCCCGCTTCCAACGAAGGCCTCAAAGGGGTCTAACTAATCACTTGCAGACTTTACAGACAGAGTCTTTCCAAACTGCTCTATGAAGAGAAAGGTGAAACTCTGTGAACTGAACGCACAGATGACAAAGCAGTTTCTGAGAATGATTCTGTGTAGTTTTTACACGAAGATATTTCCATTTCAAAGATTAGCCTCAAATCGCTTGAAATCTCCACTTGCAAACTCCACAGAAAGAATTTTTCAAAACTGCTCTGTCTAAAGGAAGGTTCAACTCTGTGACTTGAATACACACAACACAAAGAAGTGACTGAGAATTCTTCTGTCTAGCGTTGTATGAAGAAATCCCGTTTCCAACGAAGGCCTCAAAGATGTCCAAATATCCACTTGCGGACTTTACAAATAGAGTGTTTCCAAACTGCTCGATTAAAGAAAGGTTAAACTCTGTGAATTGAACACACACATCACAAAGTGTTTTCTGAGAATGATTTTGTCTAGTTTTAATACGAAGATATATCCTTTTCTATCACTGTCTTCGAAGCGTTTGAAATCTGCACTAGCAAATTCCACAAAAAGAGTGTTTCAACTCTGCTCTCTCTAAAGAAAGGTTCAACTCTGTGAGTTGAATACACACAACACAAAGAAGTTACTGAAAATTCTTCTGTCTAGCGTTATATGAAGAAATCCCGTTTCCAACGAAGGCCTCAAAGAGGTCCAAATATCCACTTGCAGACTTTACAAATAGAGTGTTTCCGAACTGCTCTATGAAAAGAAAGGTTAAACTCTGTGAGTTGAAGGCACACATCACAACCTAGTTTCTACGAATGACTCTGTGTACTTTTAATATGAAGATATTTCCATGTCTAAGATTGGCGTCAAATCGCTTGAAATCTCCACTTGCAAATTCCACAAAAAGAGTATTTCAAAACTGCTCTGAATAAAGGAAGGTTTCACTCTGTGAGTTGAATACACACAACACAAAGGATTTACTGAGAATTCTTCTGTCTAGCATTATATGAAGAAATCCCCTTTCCAACGAAGGCCTCAATGAAGTCCAAAAAAGCAATTGCAGGCTTTACAAACAGAGTGTTTCCAAACTGCTCTATGAAAAGAAAGGTTAAACTTTGTGAGTTGAACGCACACATCACAAAGTAGTTGTTGAGAATGATTCTGTGTAGTTTTTATACGAAGATATTTCCTTTTCTGCCATAGGCCTAGAATCGCTTGAAATCTGCCCTTGCAAATTCCAAAAACACAGTGTTTCAACTCTGCTCTCTCTAAAGAAAGGTTCAACTCTGTGAGTTGAATACACACAACACAAAGAAGTTACTGAGAATTCTTCTGTCTAGCATTGTATGAAGAAATCCCGTTTCCAACGAAGGCCTCAATGAAGTCCACAAAAGCACTTGCAGGCTTTACAAACAGAGTGTTTCCAAACTGCTCTATGAAAAGAAAGGTTAAACTCTGTGAGTTCAACGCACACATCACAAGTAGTTGTTGAGAATGATTCTGTGTAGTTTTTATACGAAGATATTTCCTTTTCTGCCATAGGCCTAGAAGCGCTTGAAATCTGCACTTGCAAATTCCAAAAACAGAGTGTTTCAAATCTGCTCTCTCTAAAGGAAGGTTCAAATCTGTGTGTTGAATACAAACAACACAAAGAAGTTACTGAGAATTCTTCTGTCTAGCATTATATGAGGAAATCCCGTTTCCAACGAAGGGCTCAAAGAGGGCCAAATATCCACCTGCAGACTTACAAAGAGTGTATTTCCAAACTGCTCGATTAAAGAAAGGTTAAACTCTGTGAGTTGAACACACACATCACAAAGAGTTTTTCTGAGAATGATTCTGTGTACTTTTAATATGAAGATATTTCCATGTCTAAGATTGGCGTCAAATCGCTTGAAATCTCCACTTGCAAATTGCACAAAAAGAGTGTTTCAAAACTGCTCTGAATAAAGGAAGGTTCCACTCTGTGAGTTGAATACACACAACACAAAGGATTTACTGAGAATTCTTCTGTCTAGCAGTAAATGAGAAATCCCGCTTCCAACGAAGGCCTCAAAGGGGTCTAACTAATCACTTGCAGACTTTACAGACAGAGTCTTTCCAAACTGCTCTATGAAGAGAAAGGTGAAACTCTGTGAACTGAACGCACAGATGACAAAGCAGTTTCTGAGAATGATTCTGTGTAGTTTTTACACGAAGATATTTCCATTTCAAAGATTAGCCTCAAATCGCTTGAAATCTCCACTTGCAAATTACACAGAAAGAATTTTTCAAAACTGCTCTGTCTAAAGGAAGGTTCAACTCTGTGACTTGAATACACACAACACAAAGAAGTGACTGAGAATTCTTCTGTCTAGCATTATATGAAGAAATCCCGTTTCCAACGAAGGCCTCAATGAAGTCCAAAAAAGCACTTGCAGGCTTTACAAACAGAGTGTTTCCAAACTGCTCTATGAAAAGAAAGGTTAAACTCTGTGAGTTGAACGCACACATCACAAAGTAGTTGTTGAGAATGATTCTGTGTAGTTTTTATACGAAGATATTTCCTTTTCTGCCATAGGCCTAGAATCGCTTGAAATCTGCACTTGCAAATTCCAAAAACAGAGTGTTTCAACTCTGCTCTCTCTAAAGAAAGGTTCAACTCTGTGAGTTGAATACACACAACACAAAGAAGTTACTGAGAATTCTTCTGTCTAGCATTATATGAGGAAATCCCGTTTCCAACGAAGGGCTCATAGAGGGACAATTATCCAGCTGCAGACTTACAAAGAGTGTATTTCCAAATTGCTCGATTAAAGAAAGGTTAAACTCTGTGAGTTGAACACACACATCACAAAGTTTTTTCTGAGAATGATTTTGTCTAGTTTTAATACGAAGATATATCCTTTTCTATCACTGTCTTCGAAGCGTTTGAAATCTGCACTAGCAAATTCCACAAACAGAGTGTTTCAACTCTGCTCTCTCTCAAGAAAGGTTCAACTCTGTGAGTGGAATACACACAACACAAAGAAGTTACTGAGAATTCTTCTGTCTAGCGTTATATGAAGAAATCCCGTTTCCAACGAAGGCCTCAAAGAGGTCCAAATATCCACTTGCAGACTTTACAAATAGAGTGTTTCCAAACTGCTCTATGAAAAGAAAGGTTAAACTCTGTGAGTTGAAGGCACACATCACAAACTAGTTTCTGCGAATGACTCTGTGTACTTTTAATACGAAGATGTTTCCATGTCTAAGATGGGCGTGAATTCGCTTGAAATCTCCACTTGCAAATTCCACAAAAAGAGTGTTTCAAAACTGCTCTGAATAAAGGAAGGTTCCACTCTGTGAGTTGAATACACACAACACAAAGGATTCACTGAGAATTCTTCTGTCTGGCAGTAAATGAAAAAATCCCGCTTCCAACAAAGTCCTCAAAGGGGTCCAAGTAATCACTTGCAGACTTTACAGACAGAGTCTTTCCAAACTGCTCTATGAAAAGAAAGGTGGAACTCTGTGAGCTGAACGCACACATAACAAAGCAGTTTCTGAGAATGATTCTGTGTAGTTTTTACACGAAGATATTTCCATTTCAAAGATTAGCCTCAAATCGCTTGAAATCTCCACTTGCAAATTCCACAGAAAGAGTTTTTCAAAACTGCTCTGTGTAAAGGAAGGTTCAACTCTGTGACTTGAATACACACAACACAAAGAAGTGACTGAGAATTCTTCTGTCTAGCATTATATGAAGAAATCCCGTTTCCAACGAAGGCCTCAAAGAAGTCCAAATAAGCACCTGCAGACTTTACAAACAGAGTGTTTCCAAACTGCTCTATGAAAAGAAAGGTTAAACTCTGTGCGTTGAACGCACACATCACAAAGTAGTTGTTGAGAATGATTCTGTGTAGTTTTTATACGAAGATATTTCCTTTTCTGCCATAGGCCTAGAAGCGCTTGTAATCTGCACTTGCAAATTCCAAAACCAGAGTGTTTCAAATCTGCTCTCTCTAAAGGAAGGTTCAAATCTGTGAGTTGAATACAAACAACACAAAGAAGTTACTGAGAATTCTTCTGTCTAGCATTATATGAGGAAATCCCGTTTCCAACGAAGGGCTCATAGAGGGACAATTATCCAGCTGCAGACTTACAAAGAGTGTATTTCCAAACTGCTCGATTAAAGAAAGGTTAAACTCTGTGAGTTGAACACACACATCACAAAGTGTTTTCTGAGAATGATTTTGTCTAGTTTTAATACGAAGATATATCCTTTTCTATCACTGTCTTCGAAGCGTTTGAAATCTGCACTAGCAAATTCCACAAACAGAGTGTTTCAACTCTGCTCTCTCTCAAGAAAGGTTCAACTCTGTGAGTGGAATACACACAACACAAAGAAGTTACTGAGAATTCTTCTGTCTAGCGTTATATGAAGAAATCCCGTTTCCAACGAAGGCCTCAAAGACGTCCAAATATCCACTTGCAGACTTTACAAATAGAGTGTTTCCAAACTGCTCTATGAAAAGAAAGGTTAAACTCCGTGAGTTGAAGGCACACATCACAAACTAGTTTCTGCGAATGACTCTGTGTACTTTTAATACGAAGATGTTTCCATGTCTAAGATTGGCGTGAATTCGCTTGAAATCTCCACTTGCAAATTCCACAAAAAGAGTGTTTCAAAACTGCTCTGAATAAAGGAAGGTTCCACTCTGTGAGTTGAATACACACAACACAAAGGATTTACTGAGAATTCTTCTATCTAGCAGTAAATGAAAAAATCCCGCTTCCAAAGAAGTCCTCAAAGGGGTCCAAGTAATCACTTGCAGACTTTACAGACAGAGTCTTTCCAAACTGCTCTATGAAAAGAAAGGTGGAACTCTGTGAGCTGAACGCACACATAACAAAGCAGTTTCTGAGAATGATTCTGTGTAGTTTTTACACGAAGATATTTCCATTTCAAAGATTAGCCTCAAATCGCTTGAAATCTCCACTTGCAAATTCCACAGAAAGAGTTTTTCAAAACTGCTCTGTCTAAAGGAAGTTTCAACTCTGTGACTTGAATACCACAACACAAAGAAGTGACTGAGAATTCTTCTGTCTAGCATTATAAGAGGAAATCCCGTTTCCAACGAAGGGCTCATAGAGGGACAATTATCCAGCTGCAGACTTACAAAGAGTGTATTTCCAAACTGCTCGATTAAAGAAAGGTTAAACTACTGTGAGTTGAACACACACATCACAAAGTGTTTTCTGAGAATGATTTTGTCTAGTTTTAATACGAAGATATACCCTTTTCTATCACTGTCTTCGAAGCGTTTGAAATCTGCACTAGCAAATTCCAAAGAAAGAGTGTTTCAACTCTGCTCTCTCTCAAGAAAGGTTCAACTCTGTGAGTTGAATACACACAACACAAAGAAGTTACTGAGAATTCTTCTGTCTAGCGTTATATGAAGAAATCCCATTTCCAACGAAGGCCTCAAAGAGGTCCAAATATCCACTTGCAGACTTTACAAATAGAGTGTTTCCAAACTGCTCTATGAAAAGAAAGGTTAAACTCCGTGAGTTGAAGGCACACATCACAAACTAGTTTCTGCGAATGACTCTGTGTACTTTTAATACGAAGATGTTTCCATGTCTAAGATTGGCGTGAATTCGCTTGAAATCTCCACCTGCAAATTCCACAAAAAGAATGTTTCAAAACTGCTCTGAATAGAGGAAGGTTCCACTCTGTGAGTTGAATACACACAACACAAAGGATTTACTGAGAATTCTTCTGTCTAGCAGTAAATGAAAAAATCCCGCTTCCAACGAAGTCCTCAAAGGGGTCCAAGTAATCACTTGCAGACTTTACAGACAGAGTCTTTCCAAACTGCTCTATGAAAAGAAAGGTGGAACTCTGTGAGCTGAACGCACACATAACAAAGCAGTTTCTGAGAATGAT
>NC_000010.11:40493445-40583118 GCF_000001405.40 Homo sapiens | reverse complement strand
CTTCTGTGTAGTTTTTACACGAAGATATTTCCATTTCAAAGATTAGCCTCAAATCGCTTGAAATCTCCACTTGCAAACTCCACAGAAAGAATTTTTCAAAACTGCTCTGTCTAAAGGAAGGTTCAACCCTGTGTTTTTTTTTTTTTTGGTGGGAAGAAGAAGGGAGGGGTTGGGAGGGGAGGGGGAAAAGCTAGAGGCTCGTGCCTCAGGAGTTCAAGGCTGTAGCAACCTATGATCATGCTACTGCACTCCAGCCTCAGTGACAGAGCAAGACCATGACTCAAAAAAAAAATGGATGTGTGTGTGTGTGTGTGTATATATATATATATATATATATATATATATATATATATATATAAAATATATAATATATATAACATATTATATATATCTGTCTAGCGTTGTATGAAGAAATCCCGTTTCCAACGAAGGCCTCAATGAAGCCCAAAAAAGCACTTGCAGGCTTTACAAACAGAGTGTTTCCAAACTGCTCTATGAAAAGAAAGGTTAAACTCTGTGAGTTGAACACACACATCACAAAGAGTTTTCTGAGAATGATTTTGTCTACTTTTAATACGAAGATATATCCTTTTCTATCACTGTCTTCGAAGCGTTTGAAATCTACACTAGCAAATTCCACAAAAAGAGTGTTTCACCTCTGCTCCCTCTAAAGAAAGGTTCAACTCTGTGAGTTGAATACACACAACACAAAGAAGTTACTGAGAATTCTTCTGTCTAGCGTTATATGAAGAAATCCCGTTTCCAACGAAGGCCTCAAAGAGGTCCAAATATCCACTTGCAGACTTTACAAATAGAGTGTTTCCCAACTGCTCTATGAAAAGAAAGGTTAAACTCTGTGAGTTGAAGGCACACATCACAAACTAGTTTCTACGAATGACTCTGTGTACTTTTAATACGAAGATGTTTCCATGTCTAAGATTGGCGTGAATTCGCTTGAAATCTCCACTTGCAATTTCCACAAAAAGAGTGTTTCAAAAGTGCTCTGAATAAAGGAAGGTTCCACTCTGTGAGTTGAATACACACAACACAAAGGATTTACTGAGAATTCTTCTGTCTAGCAGTAAATGAAAAAATCCCGCTTCCAACGAAGTCCTCAAAGGGGTCCAAGTAATCACTTGCAGACTTTACAGACAGAGTCTTTCCAAACTGCTCTATGAAAAGAAAGGTGGAACTCTGTGAGCTGAACGCACACATAACAAAGCAGTTTCTGAGAATGATTCTGTGTAGTTTTTACACGAAGATATTTCCATTTCAAAGATTAGCCTCAAATCGCTTGAAATCTCCACTTGCAAATTCCACAGAAAGAGTTTTTCAAAACTGCTCTGTGTAAAGGAAGGTTCAACTCTGTGACTTGAATACACACAACACAAAGAAGTGACTGAGAATTCTTCTGTCTAGCATTATAAGAGGAAATCCCGTTTCCAACGAAGGGCTCATAGAGGGACAATTATCCAGCTGCAGATTTACAAAGAGTGTATTTCCAAACTGCTCGATTAAAGAAAGGTTAAACTCTGTGAGTTGAACACACACATCACAAAGTGTTTTCTGAGAATGATTTTGTCTAGTTTTAATACGAAGATATATCCTTTTCTATCACTGTCTTCGAAGCGTTTGAAATCTGCACTAGCAAATTCCACAAACAGAGTGTTTCCACTCTGCTCTCTCTCAAGAAAGGTTCAACTCTGTGAGTGGAATACACACAACACAAAGAAGTTACTGAGAATTCTTCTGTCTAGCGTTATATGAAGAAATCCCGTTTCCAACGAAGGCCTCAAAGAGGTCCAAATATCCACTTGCAGACTTTACAAATAGAGTGTTTCCAAACTGCTCTATGAAAAGAAAGGTTAAACTCCGTGAGTTGAAGGCACACATCACAAACTAGTTTCTGCGAATGACTCTGTGTACTTTTAATACGAAGATGTTTCCATGTCTAAGATTGGCGTGAATTCGCTTGAAATCTCCACTTGCAAATTCCACAAAAAGAGTGTTTCAAAACTGCTCTGAATAAAGGAAGGTTCCACTCTGTGAGTTGAATACACACAACACAAAGGATTTACTGAGAATTCTTCTGTCTAGCAGTAAATGAAAAAATCCCGCTTCCAACGAAGTCCTCAAAGGGGTCCAAGTAATCACTTGCAGACTTTACAGACAGAGTCTTTCCAAACTGCTCTATGAAAAGAAAGGTGGAACTCTGTGAGCTGAACGCACACATAACAAAGCAGTTTCTGACAATGATTCTGTGTAGTTTTTACACGAAGCTATTTCCATTTCAAAGATTAGCCTCAAATCGCTTGAAATCTCCACTTGCAAATTCCACAGAAAGAGTTTTTCAAAACTGCTCTGTGTAAAGGAAGGTTCAACTCTGTGACTTGAATACACACAACACAAAGAAGTGACTGAGAATTCTTCTGTCTAGCATTATATGAAGAAATCCCGTTTCCAACGAAGGCCTCAAAGAAGTCCAAATAAGCACCTGCAGACTTTACAAACAGAGTGTTTCCAAACTGCTCTATGAAAAGAAAGGTTAAACTCTGTGAGTTGAACGCACACATCACAAAGTAGTTGTTGAGAATGATTCTGTGTAGTTTTTATACGAAGATATTTCCTTTTCTGCCATAGGCCTAGAATCGCTTGAAATCTGCACTTGCAAATTCCAAAAACAGAGTGTTTCAAATCTGCTCTCTCTAAAGGAAGGTTCAAATCTGTGTGTTGAATACAAACAACACAGAGAAGTTACTGAGAATTCTTCTGTCTAGCATTATAAGAGGAAATCCCGTTTCCAAAGAAGGGCTCAAAGAGGGCCAAATATCCACCTGCAGACTTACAAAGAGTGTGTTTCCAAACTGCTCGATTAAAGAAAGGTTAAACTCTGTGAGTTGAACACACACATCACAAAGAGTTTTCTGAGAATGATTCTGTGTACTTTTAATACGAAGATGTTTCCATGTCTAAGATTGGCGTGAATTCGCTTGAAATCTCCACTTGCAAATTCCACAAAAAGAGTGTTTCAAAACTGCTCTGAATAAAGGAAGGTTCCACTCTGTGAGTTGAGTACACACAACACAAAGGATTTACTGAGAATTCTTCTGTCTGGCAGTAAATGAAAAAATCCCGCTTCCAACGAAGTCCTCAAAGGGGTCCAAGTAATCACTTGCAGACTTTACAGACAGAGTCTTTCCAAACTGCTCTATGAAAAGAAAGGTGGAACTCTGTGAGCTGAACGCACACATAACAAAGCAGTTTCTGAGAATGATTCTGTGTAGTTTTTACACGAAGATATTTCCATTTCAAAGATTAGCCTCAAATCGCTTGAAATCTCCACTTGCAAATTCCACAGAAAGAATTTTTCAAAACTGCTCTGTGTAAAGGAAGGTTCAACTCTGTGACTTGAATACACACAACACAAAGAAGTGACTGAGAATTCTTCTGTCTAGCATTATATGAAGAAATCCCGTTTCCAACGAAGGCCTCAAAGAAGTCCAAATAAGCACCTGCAGACTTTACAAACAGAGTGTTTCCAAACTGCTCTATGAAAAGAAAGGTTAAAGTCTGTGAGTTGAACGCACACATCACAAAGTAGTTGTTGAGAATGATTCTGTGTAGTTTTTATACGAAGATATTTCCTTTTCTGCCTTAGGCCTAGAAGCGCTTGCAATCTGCACTTGCAAATTCCAAAAACAGAGTGTTTCAAATCTGCTCCCTCTAAAGGAAGGTTCAAATCTGTGAGTTGAATACAAACAACACAAAGAAGTTACTGAGAATTCTTCTGTCTAACGTTATATGAAGAAATCCCGTTTCCAACGAAGGCCTCAAAGAGGTCCAAATATCCACTTGCAGACTTTACAAATAGAGTTTTTCCCAACTGCTCTATGAAAAGAAAGGTTAAACTCTGTGAGTTGAAGGCACACATCACAAACTAGTTTCTACGAATGACTCTGTGTACTTTTAATATGAAGATATTTCCATGTCTAAGATTGGCGTCAAATCGCTTGAAATCTCCACTTGCAAATTCCACAAAAAGAGTGTTTCAAAACTGCTCTGAATAAAGGAAGGTTCCACTCTGTGAGTTGAATACACACAACACAAAGGATTTACTGAGAATTCTTCTGTCTAGCAGTAAATGAGAAATCCCGCTTCCAACGAAGGCCTCAAAGGGGTCTAACTAATCACTTGCAGACTTTACAGACAGAGTCTTTCCAAACTGCTCTATGAAGAGAAAGGTGAAACTCTGTGAACTGAACGCACAGATGACAAAGCAGTTTCTGAGAATGATTCTGTGTAGTTTTTACACGAAGATATTTCCATTTCAAAGATTAGCCTCAAATCGCTTGAAATCTCCACTTGCAAACTCCACAGAAAGAATTTTTCAAAACTGCTCTGTCTAAAGGAAGGTTCAACTCTGTGACTTGAATACACACAACACAAAGAAGTGACTGAGCATTCTTCTGTCTAGCATTACATGAAGAAATCCCGTTTCCAACGAAGGCCTCAATGAAGTCCAAAAAAGCACTTGCAGGCTTTACAAACAGAGTGTTTCCAAACTGCTCTATGAAAAGAAAGGTTAAACTCTGTGAGTTGAACGCACACATCACAAAGTAGTTGTTGAGAATGATTCTGTGTAGTTTTTATACGAAGATATTTCCTTTTCTGCCATAGGCCTAGAATCGCTTGAAATCTGCAGTTGCAAATTCCAAAAACAGAGTGTTTCAACTCTGCTCTCTCTAAAGAAAGGTTCAACTCTGTGAGTTGAATACACACAACACAAAGAAGTTACTGAGAATTCTTCTGTCTAGCGTTGTATGAAGAAATCCCGTTTCCAACGAAGGCCTCAAAGGAGGTCCAAATATCCACTTGCAGACTTTACAAATAGAGTGTTTCCAAACTGCTCTATGAAAAGAAAGGTTAAACTCTGTGAGTTGAAGGCACACATCACAAACTAGTTTTTACGAATGACTCTGTGTAGTTTTAATACGAAGATATTTCCATGTCTAAATTGGCGTCAAATCGCTTGAAATCTCCACTTACAAATTCCACAAAAAGAGTGTTTCAAAACTGCTCTGAATAAAGGAAGGTTCAACTCTGTGAGTTGAATACACATAACACAAAGGATTTACTGAGAATTCTTCTGTCTAGCAGTAAGTGAAAAAATGAAGCTTCCAACGAAGTCCTCAAAGGGGTCCAAGTATTCACTTGCAGAGTTTACAGACAGAGTCTTTCCAAACTGCTCTATGAAAGGAAAGGTGAAACTCTGTGAGTTGAACGCACACATAACAAAGCAGTTTCTGAGAATGATTCTGTGTAGTTTTTACACGAAGCTATTTCCATTTCAAAGTATTAGCCTCAAATCGCTTGAAATCTCCACTTGCAAATTCCACAGAAAGAGTTTTTCAAAACTGCTCTGTGTAAAGGAAAGTTCAACTCTGTGACTTGAATACACACAACACAAAGAAGTGACTGAGAATTCTTCTGTCTAGCATTATATGAAGAAATCCCGTTTCCAACGAAGGCCTCAAAGAAGTCCAAATAAGCACCTGCAGACTTTACAAACAGAGTGTTTCCAAACTGCTCTATGAAAAGAAAGGTTAAACTCTGTGAGTTGAACGCACACATCACACAGTAGTTGTTGAGAATGATTCTGTGTAGTTTTTATACGAAGATATTTCCTTTTCTGCCATAGGCCTAGAAGCGCTTGTAATCTGCACTTGCAAATTCCAAAACCAGAGTGTTTCAAATCTGCTCTCTCTAAAGGAAGGTTCAAATCTGTGAGTTGAATACAAACAACACAAAGAAGTTACTGAGAATTCTTCTGTCTAGCATTATAAGAGGAAATCCCGTTTCCAACGAAGGGCTCATAGAGGGACAATTATCCAGCTGCAGACTTACAAAGAGTGTATTTCCAAACTGCTCGATTAAAGAAAGGTTAAACTCTGTGAGTTGAACACACACATCACAAAGTGTTTTCTGAGAATGATTTTGTCTAGTTTTAATACGAAGATATATCCTTTTCTATCACTGTCTTCGAAGCGTTTGAAATCTGCACTAGCAAATTCCACAAACAGAGTGTTTCAACTCTGCTCTCTCTCAAGAAAGGTTCAACTCTGTGAGTGGAATACACACAACACAAAGAAGTTACTGAGAATTCTTCTGTCTAGCGTTATATGAAGAAATCCCGTTTCCAACGAAGGCCTCAAAGAGGTCCAAATATCCACTTGCAGACTTTACAGATAGAGTGTTTCCAAACTGCTCTATGAAAAGAAAGGTTAAACTCCGTGAGTTGAAGGCACACATCACAAACTAGTTTCTGCGAATGACTCTGTGTACTTTTAATACGAAGATGTTTCCATGTCTAAGATTGGCGTGAATTCGCTTGAAATCTCCACCTGCAAATTCCACAAAAAGAATGTTTCAAAACAGCTCTGAATAGAGGAAGGTTCCACTCTGTGAGTTGAATACACACAACACAAAGGATTTACTGAGAATTCTTCTGTCTAGCAGTAAATGAAAAAATCCCGCTTCCAACGAAGTCCTCAAAGGGGTCCAAGTAATCACTTGCAGACTTTACAGACAGAGTCTTTCCAAACTGCTCTATGAAAAGAAAGGTGGAACTCTGTGAGCTGAACGCACACATAACAAAGAAGTTTCTGAGAATGATTCTGTGTAGTTTTTACACGAAGCTATTTCCATTTCAAAGATTAGCCTCAAATCGCTTGAAATCTCCACTTGCAAATTCCACAGAAAGAGTTTTTCAAAACTGCTCTGTGTAAAGGAAGGTTCAACTCTGTGACTTGAATACACACAACACAAAGAAGTGACTGAGAATTCTTCTGTCTAGCATTATATGAAGAAATCCCGTTTCCAACGAAGGCCTCAATGAAGTCCAAAAAAGCACTTGCAGGCTTTACCAACAGAGTGTTTCCAAACTGCTCTATGAAAAGAAAGGTTAAACTCTGTGAGTTGAACGCACACATCACAAAGTAGTTGTTGAGAATGATTCTGTGTAGTTTTTATACGAAGATATTTCCTTTTCTGCCATAGGCCTAGAATCGCTTGAAATCTGCACTTGCAAATTCCAAAAACAGAGTGTTTCAACTCTGCTCTCTCTAAAGAAAGGTTCAACTCTGTGAGTTGAATACACACAACACAAAGAAGTTACTGAGAATTCTTCTGTCTAGCGTTGTATGAAGAAATCCCGTTTCCAACGAAGGCCTCAATGAAGTCCAAAAAAGCACTTGCAGGCTTTACAAACAGAGTGTTTCCAAACTGCTCTATGAAAAGAAAGGTTAAACTCTGTGAGTTGAACACACACATCACAAAGAGTTTTCTGAGAATGATTTTGTCTACTTTTAATACGAAGATATACCCTTTTCTATCACTGTCTTCGAAGCGTTTGAAATCTACACTAGCAAATTCCACAAAAAGAGTGTTTCACCTCTGCTCCCTCTAAAGAAAGGTTCAACTCTGTGAGTTGAATACACACAACACACAGAAGTTACTGAGAATTCTTCTGTCTAACGTTATATGAAGAAATCCCGTTTCCAACGAAGGCCTCAAAGAGGTCCAAATATCCACTTGCAGACTTTACAAATAGAGTTTTTCCCAACTGCTCTATGAAAAGAAAGGTTAAACTCTGTGAGTTGAAGGCACACATCACAAACTAGTTTCTACGAATGACTCTGTGTACTTTTAATATGAAGATATTTCCATGTCTAAGATTGGCGTCAAATCGCTTGAAATCTCCACTTGCAAATTCCACAAAAAGAGTGTTTCAAAACTGCTCTGAATAAAGGAAGGTTCCACTCTGTGAGTTGAATACACACAACACAAAGGATTTACTGAGAATTCTTCTGTCTAGCAGTAAATGAGAAATCCCGCTTCCAACGAAGGCCTCAAAGGGGTCTAACTAATCACTTGCAGACTTTACAGACAGAGTCTTTCCAAACTGCTCTATGAAGAGAAAGGTGAAACTCTGTGGACTAACGCACAGATGACAAAGCAGTTTCTGAGAATGATTCTGTGTAGTTTTTACACGAAGATATTTCCATTTCAAAGATTAGCCTCAAATCGCTTGAAATCTCCACTTGCAAACTCCACAGAAAGAATTTTTCAAAACTGCTCTGTCTAAAGGAAGGTTCAACTCTGTGACTTGAATACACACAACACAAAGAAGTGACTGAGAATTCTTCTGTCTAGCATTATAAGAGGAAATCCTGTTTCCAACGAAGGGCTCATAGAGGGACAATTATCCAGCTGCAGACTTACAAAGAGTGTATTTCCAAACTGCTCGATTAAAGAAAGGTTAAACTCTGTGAGTTGAACACACACATCACAAAGTGTTTTCTGAGAATGATTTTGTCTAGTTTTAATACGAAGATATATCCTTTTCTATCACTGTCTTCGAAGCGTTTGAAATCTGCACTAGCAAATTCCACAAACAGAGTGTTTCAACTCTGCTCTCTCTCAAGAAAGGTTCAACTCTGTGAGTTGAATACACACAACACAAAGAAGTTACTGAGAATTCTTCTGTCTAGCGTTATATGAAGAAATCCCGTTTCCAACGAAGGCCTCAAAGAGGTCCAAATATCCACTTGCAGACTTTACAAATAGAGTGTTTCCAAACTGCTCTATGAAAAGAAAGGTTAAACTCCGTGAGTTGAAGGCACACATCACAAACTAGTTTCTGCGAATGACTCTGTGTACTTTTAATACGAAGATGTTTCCATGTCTAAGATTGGCGTGAATTCGCTTGAAATCTCCACTTGCAAATTCCACAAAAAGAGTGTTTCAAAACTGCTCTGAATAAAGGAAGGTTCCACTCTGTGAGTTGAATACACACAACACAAAGGATTTACTGAGAATTCTTCTGTCTAGCAGTAAATGAAAAAATCCCGCTTCCAACGAAGTCCTCAAAGGGGTCCAAGTAATCACTTGCAGACTTTACAGACAGAGTCTTTCCAAACTGCTCTATGAAAAGAAAGGTGGAACTCTGTGAGCTGAACGCACACATAACAAAGCAGTTTCTGAGAATGATTCTGTGTAGTTTTTACACGAAGATATTTCCATTTCAAAGATTAGCCTCAAATCGCTTGAAATCTCCACTTGCAAATTCCACAGAAAGAGATTTTCAAAACTGCTCTGTGTAAAGGAAGGTTCAACTCTGTGACTTGAATACACACAACACAAAGAAGTGACTGAGAATTCTTCTGTCTAGCATTATATGAAGAAATCCCGTTTCCAACGAAGGCCTCAAAGAAGTCCAAATAAGCACCTGCAGACTTTACAAACAGAGTGTTTCCAAACTGCTCTATGAAAAGAAAGGTTAAACTCTGTGAGCTGAACGCACACATCACAAAGTAGTTGTTGAGAATGATTCTGTGTAGTTTTTATACGAAGATATTTCCTTTTCTGCCATAGGCCTAGAAGCGCTTGCAATCTGCACTTGCAAATTCCAAAAACAGAGTGTTTCAAATCTGCTCTCTCCAAAGGAAGGTTCAAATCTGTGAGTTGAATACAAACAACACAAAGAAGTTACTGAGAATTCTTCTGTCTAGCATTATAAGAGGAAATCCCGTTTCCAACGAAGGGCTCATAGAGGGACAATTATCCAGCTGCAGACTTACAAAGAGTGTATTTCCAAACTGCTCGATTAAAGAAAGGTTAAACTCTGTGAGTTGAACACACACATCACAAAGTGTTTTCTGAGAATGATTTTGTCTAGTTTTAATACGAAGATATATCCTTTTCTATCACTGTCTTCGAAGCGTTTGAAATCTGCACTAGCAAATTCCACAAACAGAGTGTTTCAACTCTGCTCTCTCTCAAGAAAGGTTCAACTCTGTGAGTGGAATACACACAACACAAAGAAGTTACTGAGAATTCTTCTGTCTAGCGTTATATGAAGATATCCCGTTTCCAACGAAGGCCTCAAAGAGGTCCAAATATCCACATGCAGACTTTAGAAATAGAGTGTTTCCAAACTGCTCTATGAAAAGAAAGGTTAAACTCCGTGAGTTGAAGGCACACATCACAAACTAGTTTCTGCGAATGACTCTGTGTACTTTTAATACGAAGATGTTTCCATGTCTAAGATTGGCGTGAATTCGCTTGAAATCTCCACTTGCAAATTCCACAAAAAGAGTGTTTCAAAACTGCTCTGAATAAAGGAAGGTTCCACTCTGTGAGTTGAATACACACAACACAAAGGATTTACTGAGAATTCTTCTGACTAGCAGTAAATGAAAAAATCCCGCTTCCAACGAAGTCCTCAAAGGGGTCCAAGTAATCACTTGCAGACTTTACAGACAGAGTCTTTCCAAACTGCTCTATGAAAAGAAAGGTGGAACTCTGTGAGCTGAACGCACACATAACAAAGCAGTTTCTGAGAATGATTCTGTGTAGTTTTTACACGAAGATATTTCCATTTCAAAGATTAGCCTCAAATCGCTTGAAATCTCCACTTGCAAATTCCACAGAAAGAGTTTTTCAAAACTGCTCTGTGTAAAGGAAGGTTCAACTCTGTGACTTGAATACACACAACACAAAGAAGTGACTGAGAATTCTTCTGTCTAGCATTACATGAAGAAATCCCGTTTCCAAAGAAGGCCTCAAAGAAGTCCAAATAAGCACCTGCAGACTTTACAAACAGAGTGTTTCCAAACTGCTCTATGAAAAGAAAGGTTAAACTCTGTGAGTTGAACGCACACATCACAAAGTAGTTGTTGAGAATGATTCTGTGTAGTTTTTATACGAAGATATTTCCTTTTCTGCCATAGGCCTAGAAGCGCTTGTAATCTGCACTTGCAAATTCCAAAAACAGAGTGTTTCAAATCTGCTCTCTCTAAAGGAAGGTTCAAATCTGTGAGTTGAATACAAACAACACAAAGAAGTTACTGAGAATTCTTCTGTCTAGCATTATAAGAGGAAATCCTGTTTCCAACGAAGGGCTCATAGAGGGACAATTATCCAGCTGCAGACTTACAAAGAGTGTATTTCCAAACTGCTCGATTAAAGAAAGGTTAAACTCTGTGAGTTGAACACACACATCACAAAGTGTTTTCTGAGAATGATTTTGTCTAGTTTTAATACGAAGATATATCCTTTTCTATCACTGTCTTCGAAGCGTTTGAAATCTGCACTAGCAAATTCCACAAACAGAGTGTTTCAACTCTGCTCTCTCTCAAGAAAGGTTCAACTCTGTGAGTTGAATACACACAACACAAAGAAGTTACTGAGAATTCTTCTGTCTAGCGTTATATGAAGAAATCCCGTTTCCAACGAAGGCCTCAAAGAGGTCCAAATATCCACTTGCAGACTTTACAAATAGAGTGTTTCCAAACTGCTCTATGAAAAGAAAGGTTAAACTCCGTGAGTTGAAGGCACACATCACAAACTAGTTTCTGCGAATGACTCTGTGTACTTTTAATACGAAGATGTTTCCATGTCTAAGCATTGGCGTGAATTCGCTTGAAATCTCCACTTGCAAATTCCACAAAAAGAGTGTTTCAAAACTGCTCTGAATACAGGAAGGTTCCACTCTGTGAGTTGAATACACACAACACAAAGGATTTACTGAGAATTCTTCTGTCTAGCAGTAAATGAAAAAATCCTGCTTCCAACGAAGTCCTCAAAGGGGTCCAAGTAATCACTTGCAGACTTTACAGACAGAGTCTTTCCAAACTGCTCTATGAAAAGAAAGGTGGAACTCTGTGAGCTGAACGCACACATAACAAAGCAGTTTCTGAGAATGATTCTGTGTAGTTTTTACACGAAGATATTTCCATTTCAAAGATTAGCCTCAAATCGCTTGAAATCTCCACTTGCAAATTCCACAGAAAGAGTTTTTCAAAACTGCTCTGTGTAAAGGAAGGTTCAACTCTGTGACTTGAATACACACAACACAAAGAAGTGACTGAGAATTCTTCTGTCTAGCATTATATGAAGAAATCCCGTTTCCAACGAAGGCCTCAAAGAAGTCCAAATAAGCACCTGCAGACTTTACAAACAGAGTGTTTCCAAACTGCTCTATGAAAAGAAAGGTTAAACTCTGTGAGTTGAACGCACACATCACAAAGTAGTTGTTGAGAATGATTCTGTGTAGTTTTTATACGAAGATATTTCCTTTTCTGCCATAGGCCTAGAAGCGCTTGCAATCTGCACTTGCAAATTCCAAAAACAGAGTGTTTCAAATCTGCTCTCTCCAAAGGAAGGTTCAAATCTGTGAGTTGAATACAAACAACACAAAGAAGTTACTGAGAATTCTTCTGTCTAGCATTATAAGAGGAAATCCCGTTTCCAACGAAGGGCTCATAGAGGGACAATTATCCAGCTGCAGACTTACAAAGAGTGTATTTCCAAACTGCTCGATTAAAGAAAGGTTAAACTCTGTGAGTTGAACACACACATCACAAAGTGTTTTCTGAGAATGATTTTGTCTAGTTTTAATACGAAGATATATCCTTTTCTATCACTGTCTTCGAAGCGTTTGAAATCTGCACTAGCAAATTCCACAGAAAGAGTGTTTCAACTCTGCTCTCTCTCAAGAAAGGTTCAACTCTGTGAGTGGAATACACACAACACAAAGAAGTTACTGAGAATTCTTCTGTCTAGCGTTATATGAAGAAATCCCGTTTCCAACGAAGGCCTCAAAGAGGTCCAAATATCCACTTGCAGACTTTACAAATAGAGTGTTTCCAAACTGCTCTATGAAAAGAAAGGTTAAACTCTGTGAGTTGAAGGCACGCATCACAAACTAGTTTCTGCGAATGACTCTGTGTACTTTTAATACGAAGATGTTTCCATGTCTAAGATTGGCGTGAATTCGCTTGAAATCTCCACTTGCAAATTCCACAAAAAGAGTGTTTCAAAACTGCTCTGAATAAAGGAAGGTTCCACTCTGTGTGTTGAATACACACAACACAAAGGATTTACTGAGAATTCTTCTGTCTAGCAGTAAATGAAAAAATCCCGCTTCCAACGAAGTCCTCAAAGGGGTCCAAGTAATCACTTGCAGACTTTACAGACAGAGTCTTTCCAAACTGCTCTATGAAAAGAAAGGTGGAACTCTGTGAGCTGAACGCACACATAACAAAGCAGTTTCTGAGAATGATTCTGTGTAGTTTTTACACGAAGCTATTTCCATTTCAAAGATTAGCCTCAAATCGCTTGAAATCTCCACTTGCAAATTCCACAGAAAGAGTTTTTCAAAACTGCTCTGTGTAAAGGAAAGTTCAACTATGTGACTTGAATACACACAACACAAAGAAGTGACTGAGAATTCTTCTGTCTAGCATTACATGAATAAATCCCGTTTCCAACGAAGGCCTCAAAGAAGTCCAAATAAGCACCTGCAGACTTTACAAACAGAGTGTTTCCAAACTGCTCTATGAAAAGAAAGGTTAAACTCTGTGAGTTGAACGCACACATCACAAAGTAGTTGTCGAGAATGATTTCTGTGTAGTTTTTATACGAAGATATTTCCTTTTCTGCCATAGGCCTAGAAGCGCTTGTAATCTCCACTTGCAAATTCCAAAAACAGAGTGTTTCAAATCTGCTCTCTCTAAAGGAAGGTTCAAATCTGTGAGTTGAATACAAACAACACAAAGAAGTTACTGAGAATTCTTCTGTCTAGCATTATAAGAGGAAATCCCGTTTCCAACGAAGGGCTCCTAGAGGGACAATTATCCAGCTGCAGACTTACAAAGAGTGTATTTCCAAACTGCTCGATTAAAGAAAGGTTAAACTCTGTGAGTTGAACACACACATCACAAAGTGTTTTCTGAGAATGCTTTTGTCTAGTTTTAATACGAAGATATATCCTTTTCTATCACTGTCTTCGAAGCGTTTGAAATCTGCACTAGCAAATTCCACAGAAAGAGTGTTTCAACTCTGCTCTCTCTCAAGAAAGGTTCAACTCTGTGAGTGGAATACACACAACACAAAGAAGTTACTGAGAATTCTTCTGTCTAGCGTTATATGAAGAAATCCCGTTTCCAACGAAGGCCTCAAAGGAGGTCCAAATATCCACTTGCAGACTTTACAAAGAGAGTGTTTCCAAACTGCTCTATGAAAAGAAAGGTTAAACTCCGTGAGTTGAAGGCACACATCAAAAACTAGTTTCTGCGAATGACTCTGTGTACTTTTAATACGAAGATGTTTCCATGTCTAAGATTGGCGTGAATTCGCTTGAAATCTCCACTTGCAAATTCCACAAAAAGAGTGTTTCAAAACTGCTCTGAATAAAGGAAGGTTCCACTCTGTGAGTTGAATACACACAACACAAAGGATTTACTGAGAATTCTTCTGTCTAGCAGTAAATGAAAAAATCCCGCTTCCAACGAAGTCCTCAAAGGGGTCCAAGTAATCACTTGCAGACTTTACAGACAGAGTCTTTCCAAACTGCTCTATGAAAAGAAAGGTGGAACTCTGTGAGCTGAACGCACACATAACAAAGAAGTTTCTGAGAATGATTCTGTGTAGTTTTTACACGAAGCTATTTCCATTTCAAAGATTAGCCTCAAATCGCTTGAAATCTCCACTTGCAAATTCCACAGAAAGAGTTTTTCAAAACTGCTCTGTGCAAAGGAAGGTTCAACTCTGTGACTTGAATACACACAACACAAAGAAGTGACTGAGAATTCTTCTGTCTAGCATTACATGAAGAAATCCCGTTTCCAACGAAGGCCTCAAAGAAGTCCAAATAAGCACCTGCAGACTTTACAAACAGAGTGTTTCCAAACTGCTCTATGAAAAGAAAGGTTAAACTCTGTGAGTTGAACGCACACATCACAAAGTAGTTGTTGAGAATGATTCTGTGTAGTTTTTATACGAAGATATTTCCTTTTCTGCCATAGGCCTAGAAGCCCTTGTAATCTGCACTTGCAAATTCCAAAAACAGAGTGTTTCAAATCTGCTCTCTCTAAAGGAAGGTTCAAATCTGTGAGTTGAATACAAACAACACAAAGAAGTTACTGAGAATTCTTCTGTCTAGCATTATAAGAGGAAATCCTGTTTCCAACGAAGGGCTCATAGAGGGACAATTATCCAGCTGCAGACTTACAAAGAGTGTATTTCCAAACTGCTCGATTAAAGAAAGGTTAAACTCTGTGAGTTGAACACACACATCACAAAGTGTTTTCTGAGAATGATTCTGTGTAGTTTTTATACGAAGATATTTCCTTTGCTGCCATAGGCCTAGAAGCGCTTGAAATCTGCACTTGCAAATTCCAAAAACAGAGTGTTTCAAATCTGCTCTCTCTAAAGGAAGGTTCAAATCTGTGTGTTGAATACAAACAACACAAAGAAGTTACTGAGAATTCTTCTGTCTAGCATTATATGAGGAAATCCCGTTTCCAACGAAGGGCTCAAAGAGGGCCAATTATCCACCTGCAGACTTACAAAGAGTGTATTTCCAAACTGCTCGATTAAAGAAAGGTTAAACTCTGTGAGTTGAACACACACATCACAAAGAGTTTTCTGAGAATGATTTTGTCTAGTTTTAATACGAAGATATATCCTTTTCTATCACTGTCTTCGAAGCGTTTGAAATCTGCACTAGCAAATTCCACAAACAGAGTGTTTCAACTCTGCTCTCTCTCAAGAAAGGTTCAACTCTGTGAGTGGAATACACACAACACAAAGAAGTTACTGAGAATTCTTCTGTCTAGCGTTATATGAAGAAATCCCGTTTCCAACGAAGGCCTCAAAGAGGTCCAAATATCCACTTGCAGACTTTACAAATAGAGTGTTTCCAAACTGCTCTATGAAAAGAAAGGTTAAACTCCGTGAGTTGAAGGCACACATCACAAACTAGTTTCTGCGAATGACTCTGTGTACTTTTAATACGAAGATGTTTCCATGTCTAAGATTGGCGTGAATTCGCTTGAAATCTCCACCTGCAAATTCCACAAAAAGAATGTTTCAAAACAGCTCTGAATAGAGGAAGGTTCCACTCTGTGAGTTGAATACACACAACACAAAGGATTTACTGAGAATTCTTCTGTCTAGCAGTAAATGAAAAAATCCCGCTTCCAACGAAGTCCTCAAAGGGGTCCAAGTATTCACTTGCAGACTTTACAGACAGAGTCTTTCCAAACTGCTCTATGAAAAGAAAGGTGGAACTCTGTGAGCTGAACGCACACATAACAAAGCAGTTTCTGAGAATGATTCTGTGTAGTTTTTACACGAAGCTATTTCCATTTCAAAGATTAGCCTCAAATCGCTTGAAATCTCCACTTGCAAATTCCACAGAAAGAGTTTTTCAAAACTGCTCTGTGTAAAGGAAGGTTCAACTCTGTGACTTGAATACACACAACACAAAGAAGTGACTGAGAATTCTTCTGTCTAGCATTATATGAAGAAATCCCGTTTCCAACGAAGGCCTCAAAGAAGTCCAAATAAGCACCTGCAGACTTTACAAACAGAGTGTTTCCAAACTGCTCTATGAAAAGAAAGGTTAAACTCTGTGAGTTGAACGCACACATCACAAAGTAGTTGTTGAGAATGATTCTGTGTAGTTTTTATACGAAGATATTTCCTTTTCTGCCATAGGCCTAGAAGCGCTTGCAATCTGCACTTGCAAATTCCAAAAACAGAGTGTTTCAAATCTGCTCTCTCCAAAGGAAGGTTCAAATCTGTGAGTTGAATACAAACAACACAAAGAAGTTACTGAGAATTCTTCTGTCTAGCATTATAAGAGGAAATCCCGTTTCCAACGAAGGGCTCATAGAGGGACAATTATCCAGCTGCAGACTTACAAAGAGTGTATTTCCAAACTGCTCGATTAAAGAAAGGTTAAACTCTGTGAGTTGAACACACACATCACAAAGTGTTTTCTGAGAATGATTTTGTCTAGTTTTAATACGAAGATATATCCTTTTCTATCACTGTCTTCGAAGCGTTTGAAATCTGCACTAGCAAATTCCACAAAAAGAGTGTTTCAACTCTGCTCTCTCTCAAGAAAGGTTCAACTCTGTGAGTGGAATACACACAACACAAAGAAGTTACTGAGAATTCTTCTGTCTAGCGTTATATGAAGAAATCCCGTTTCCAACGAAGGCCTCAAAGAGGTCCAAATATCCACTTGCAGACTTTACAAATAGAGTGTTTCCAAACTGCTCTATGAAAAGAAAGGTTAAACTCCGTGCGTTGAAGGCACACATCACAAACTAGTTTCTGCGAATGACTCTGTGTACTTTTAATACGAAGATGTTTCCATGTCTAAGATTGGCGTGAATTCGCTTGAAATCTCCACTTGCAAATTCCACAAAAAGAGTGTTTCAAAAGTGCTCTGAATAAAGGAAGGTTCCACTCTGTGAGTTGAATACACACAACACAAAGGATTTACTGAGAATTCTTCTGTCTAGCAGTAAATGAAAAAATCCCGCTTCCAACGAAGTCCTCAAAGGGGTCCAAGTAATCACTTGCAGACTTTACAGACAGAGTCTTTCCAAACTGCTCTATGAAAAGAAAGGTGGAACTCTGTGAGCTGAACGCACACATAACAAAGCAGTTTCTGAGAATGATTCTGTGTAGTTTTTACACGAAGATATTTCCATTTCAAAGATTAGCCTCAAATCGCTTGAAATCTCCACTTGCAAATTCCACAGAAAGAGTTTTTCAAAACTGCTCTGTGTAAAGGAAGGTTCAACTCTGTGACTTGAATACACACAACACAAAGAAGTGACTGAGAATTCTTCTGTCTAGCATTACATGAAGAAATCCCGTTTCCAACGAAGGCCTCAAAGAAGTCCAAATAAGCACCTGCAGACTTTACAAACAGAGTGTTTCCAAACTGCTCTATGAAAAGAAAGGTTAAACTCTGTGAGTTGAACGCACACATCACAAAGTAGTTGTTGAGAATGATTCTGTGTAGTTTTTATACGAAGATATTTCCTTTTCTGCCATAGGCCTAGAAGCGCTTGCAATCTGCACTTGCAAATTCCAAAAACAGAGTGTTTCAAATCTGCTCTCTCTAAAGGAAGGTTCAAATCTGTGAGTTGAATACAAACAACACAAAGAAGTTACTGAGAATTCTTCTGTCTAGCATTATAAGAGGAAATCCCGTTTCCAACGAAGGGCTCATAGAGGGACAATTATCCAGCTGCAGACTTACAAAGAGTGTATTTCCAAACTGCTCGATTAAAGAAAGGTTAAACTCTGTGAGTTGAACACACACATCACAATGTGTTTTCTGAGAATGATTTTGTCTAGTTTTAATACGAAGATATATCCTTTTCTATCACTGTCTTCGAAGCGTTTGAAATCTGCACTAGCAAATTCCACAAACAGAGTGTTTCAACTCTGCTCTCTCTCAAGAAAGGTTCAACTCTGTGAGTTGAATACACACAACACAAAGAAGTTACTGAGAATTCTTCTGTCTAGCGTTATATGAAGAAATCCCGTTTCCAACGAAGGCCTCAAAGAGGTCCAAATATCCACTTGCAGACTTTACAAATAGAGTGTTTCCAAACTGCTCTATGAAAAGAAAGGTTAAACTCCGTGAGTTGAAGGCACACATCACAAACTAGTTTCTGCGAATGACTCTGTGTACTTTTAATACGAAGATGTTTCCATGTCTAAGATTGGCGTGAATTCGCTTGAAATCTCCACTTGCAAATTCCACAAAAAGAGTGTTTCAAAAGTGCTCTGAATAAAGGAAGGTTCCACTCTGTGAGTTGAATACACACAACACAAAGGATTTACTGAGAATTCTTCTGTCTAGCAGTAAATGAAAAAATCCCGCTTCCAACGAAGTCCTCAAAGGGGTCCAAGTAATCACTTGCAGACTTTACAGACAGAGTCTTTCCAAACTGCTCTATGAAAAGAAAGGTGGAACTCTGTGAGCTGAACGCACACATAACAAAGCAGTTTCTGACAATGATTCTGTGTAGTTTTTACACGAAGCTATTTCCATTTCAAAGATTAGCCTCAAATCGCTTGAAATCTCCACTTGCAAATTCCACAGAAAGAGTTTTTCAAAACTGCTCTGTGTAAAGGAAGGTTCAACTCTGTGACTTGAATACACACAACACAAAGAAGTGACTGAGAATTCTTCTGTCTAGCATTATATGAAGAAATCCCGTTTCCAACGAAGGCCTCAAAGAAGTCCAAATAAGCACCTGCAGACTTTACAAACAGAGTGTTTCCAAACTGCTCTATGAAAAGAAAGGTTAAACTCTGTGAGTTGAACGCACACATCACAAAGTAGTTGTCGAGAATGATTCTGTGTAGTTTTTATACGAAGATATTTCCTTTTCTGCCATAGGCCTAGAAGCGCTTGTAATCTGCACTTGCAAATTCCGAAAACAGAGTGTTTCAAATCTGCTCTCTCTAAAGGAAGGTTCAAATCTGTGAGTTGAATACAAACAACACAAAGAAGTTACTGAGAATTCTTCTGTCTAGCATTATAAGAGGAAATCCCGTTTCCAACGAAGGGCTCATAGAGGGACAATTATCCAGCTGCAGACTTACAAAGAGTGTATTTCCAAACTGCTCGATTAAAGAAAGGTTAAACTCTGTGAGTTGAACACACACATCACAAAGTGTTTTCTGAGAATGATTTTGTCTAGTTTTAATACGAAGATATATCCTTTTCTATCACTGTCTTCGAAGCGTTTGAAATCTGCACTAGCAAATTCCACAGAAAGAGTGTTTCAACTCTGCTCTCTCTCAAGAAAGGTTCAACTCTGTGAGTTGAATACACACAACACAAAGAAGTTACTGAGAATTCTTCTGTCTAGCGTTATATGAAGAAATCCCGTTTCCAACGAAGGCCTCAAAGAGGTCCAAATATCCACTTGCAGACTTTACAAATAGAGTGTTTCCAAACTGCTCTATGAAAAGAAAGGTTAAACTCCGTGAGTTGAAGGCACACATCACAAACTAGTTTCTGCGAATGACTCTGTGTACTTTTAATACGAAGATGTTTCCATGTCTAAGATTGGCGTGAATTCGCTTGAAATCTCCACTTGCAAATTCCACAAAAAGAGTGTTTCAAAAGTGCTCTGAATAAAGGAAGGTTCCACTCTGTGAGTTGAATACACACAACACAAAGGATTTACTGAGAATTCTTCTGTCTAGCAGTAAATGAAAAAATCCCGCTTCCAACGAAGTCCTCAAAGGGGTCCAAGTAATCACTTGCAGACTTTACAGACAGAGTCTTTCCAAACTGCTCTATGAAAAGAAAGGTGGAACTCTGTGAGCTGAACGCACACATAACAAAGCAGTTTCTGAGAATGATTCTGTGTAGTTTTTACACGAAGCTATTTCCATTTCAAAGATTAGCCTCAAATCGCTTGAAATCTCCACTTGCAAATTCCACAGAAAGAGTTTTTCAAAACTGCTCTGTGTAAAGGAAGGTTCAACTCTGTGACTTGAATACACACAACACAAAGAAGTGACTGAGAATCTTCTGTCTAGCATTATATGAAGAAATCCCGTTTCCAATGAAGGCCTCAAAGAAGTCCAAATAAGCACCTGCAGACTTTACAAACAGAGTGTTTCCAAACTGCTCTATGAAAAGAAAGGTTAAACTCTGTGAGCTGAACGCACACATCACAAAGTAGTTGTTGAGAATGATTTTGTCTAGTTTTAATACGAAGATATATCCTTTTCTATCACTGTCTTCGAAGCGTTTGAAATCTGCAATAGCAAATTCCACAAACAGAGTGTTTCAACTCTGCTCTCTCTCAAGAAAGGTTCAACTCTGTGAGTTGAATACACACAACACAAAGAAGTTACTGAGAATTCTTCTGTCTAGCGTTATATGAAGAAATCCCGTTTCCAACGAAGGCCTCAAAGAGGTCCAAATATCCACTTGCAGACTTTACAAATAGAGTGTTTCCAAACTGCTCTATGAAAAGAAAGGTTAAACTCCGTGAGTTGAAGGCACACATCACAAACTAGTTTCTGCGAATGACTCTGTGTACTTTTAATACGAAGATGTTTCCATGTCTAAGATTGGCGTGAATTCGCTTGAAATCTCCACTTGCAAATTCCACAAAAAGAGTGTTTCAAAACTGCTCTGAATAAAGGAAGGTTCCACTCTGTGAGTTGAATACACACAACACAAAGGATTTACTGAGAATTCTTCTGTCTAGCAGTAAATGAAAAAATCCCGCTTCCAACGAAGTCCTCAAAGGGGTCCAAGTAATCACTTGCAGACTTTACAGACAGAGTCTTTCCAAACTGCTCTATGAAAAGAAAGGTGGAACTCTGTGAGCTGAACGCACACATAACAAAGCAGTTTCTGACAATGATTCTGTGTGGTTTTTACACGAAGCTATTTCCATTTCAAAGGTTAGCCTCAAATCGCTTGAAATCTCCACTTGCAAATTCCACAGAAAGAGTTTTTCAAAACTGCTCTGTGTAAAGGAAGGTTCAACTCTGTGACTTGAATACACACAACACAAAGAAGTGACTGAGAATTCTTCTGTCTAGCCTTATATGAAGAAATCCCGTTTCCAACGAAGGCCTCAAAGAAGTCCAAATAAGCACCTGCAGACTTTACAAACAGAGTGTTTCCAAACTGCTCTATGAAAAGAAAGGTTAAACTCTGTGAGTTGAACGCACACATCACAAAGTAGTTGTTGAGAATGATTCTGTGTAGTTTTTATACGAAGATATTTCCTTTTCTGCCATAGGCCTAGAAGCGCTTGCAATCTGCACTTGCAAATTCCAAAAACAGAGTGTTTCAAATCTGCTCTCTCTAAAGGAAAGTTCAAATCTGTGAGTTGAATACAAACAACACAAAGAAGTTACTGAGAATTCTTCTGTCTAGCATTATATGAGGAAATCCCGTTTCCAACGAAGGGCTCATAGAGGGACAATTATCCACCTGCAGACTTACAAAGAGTGTATTTCCAAACTGCTCGATTACAGAAAGGTTAAACTCTGTGAGTTGAACACACACATCACAAAGTGTTTTCTGAGAATGATTTTGTCTAGTTTTAATACGAAGATATATCCTTTTCTATCACTGTCTTCGAAGCGTTTGAAATCTGCACTAGCAAATTCCACAGAAAGAGTGTTTCAACTCTGCTCTCTCTCAAGAAAGGTTCAACTCTGTGAGTGGAATACACACAACACAAAGAAGTTACTGAGAATTCTTCTGTCTAGCGTTATATGAAGAAATCCCGTTTCCAACGAAGGCCTCAAAGAGGTCCAAATATCCACTTGCAGACTTTACAAATAGAGTGTTTCCAAACTGCTCTATGAAAAGAAAGGTTAAACTCCGTGAGTTGAAGGCACACATCACAAACTAGTTTCTGCGAATGACTCTGTGTACTTTTAATACGAAGATGTTTCCATGTCTAAGATTGGCGTGAATTCGCTTGAAATCTCCACTTGCAAATTCCACAAAAAGAGTGTTTCAAAAGTGCTCTGAATAAAGGAAGGTTCCACTCTGTGAGTTGAATACACACAACACAAAGGATTTACTGAGAATTCTTCTGTCTAGCAGTAAATGAAAAAATCCCGCTTCCAACGAAGTCCTCAAAGGGGTCCAAGTAATCACTTGCAGACTTTACAGACAGAGTCTTTCCAAACTGCTCTATGAAAAGAAAGGTGGAACTCTGTGAGCTGAACGCACACATAACAAAGCAGTTTCTGACAATGATTCTGTGTAGTTTTTACACGAAGATATTTCCATTTCAAAGATTAGCCTCAAATCGCTTGAAATCTCCACTTGCAAATTCCACAGAAAGAGTTTTTCAAAACTGCTCTGTGTAAAGGAAGGTTCAACTCTGTGACTTGAATACACACAACACAAAGAAGTGACTGAGAATTCTTCTGTCTAGCATTATATGAAGAAATCCCGTTTCCAACGAAGGCCTCAAAGAAGTCCAAATAAGCACCTGCAGACTTTACAAACAGAGTGTTTCCAAACTGCTCTATGAAAAGAAAGGTTAAGCTCTGTGAGGTGAACGCACACATCACAAAGTAGTTGTTGAGAATGATTCTGTGTAGTTTTTATACGAAGATATTTAATTTTCTGCCATAGGCCTAGAAGCGCTTGCAATCTGCACTTGCAAATTCCAAAAACAGAGTGTTTCAAATCTGCTCTCTCCAAAGGAAGGTTCAAATCTGTGAGTTGAATACAAACAACACAAAGAAGTTACTGAGAATTCTTCTGTCTAGCATTATAAGAGGAAATCCCGTTTCCAACGAAGGGCTCATAGAGGGACAATTATCCAGCTGCAGACTTACAAAGAGTGTATTTCCAAACTGCTCGATTAAAGAAAGGTTAAACTCTGTGAGTTGAACACACACATCACAAAGTGTTTTCTGAGAATGATTTTGTCTAGTTTTAATACGAAGATATATCCTTTTCTATCACTGTCTTCGAAGCGTTTGAAATCTGCACTAGCAAATTCCACAAACAGAGTGTTTCAACTCTGCTCTCTCTCAAGAAAGGTTCAACTCTGTGAGTTGAATACACACAACACAAAGAAGTTACTGAGAATTCTTCTGTCTAGCGTTATATGAAGAAATCCCGTTTCCAACGAAGGCCTCAAAGAGGTCCAAATATCCACTTGCAGACTTTACAAATAGAGTGTTTCCAAACTGCTCTATGAAAAGAAAGGTTAAACTCCGTGATTTGAAGGCACACATCACAAACTAGTTTCTGCGAATGACTCTGTGTACTTTTAATACGAAGATGTTTCCATGTCTAAGATTGGCGTGAATTCGCTTGAAATCTCCACTTGCAAATTCCACAAAAAGAGTGTTTCAAAAGTGCTCTGAATAAAGGAAGGTTCCACTCTGTGAGTTGAATACACACAACACAAAGGATTTACTGAGAATTCTTCTGTCTAGCAGTAAATGAAAAAATCCCGCTTCCAACGAAGTCCTCAAAGGGGTCCAAGTAATCACTTGCAGACTTTACAGACAGAGTCTTTCCAAACTGCTCTATGAAAAGAAAGGTGGAACTCTGTGAGCTGAACGCACACATAACAAAGAAGTTTCTGAGAAGGATTCTGTGTAGTTTTTACACGAAGATATTTCCATTTCAAAGATTAGCCTCAAATCGCTTGAAATCTCCACTTGCAAATTCCACAGAAAGAGTTTTTCAAAACTGCTCTGTGTAAAGGAAGGTTCAACTCTGTGACTTGAATACACACAACACAAAGAAGTGACTGAGAATTCTTCTGTCTAGCATTATATGAAGAAATCCCGTTTCCAACGAAGGCCTCAAAGAAGTCCAAATAAGCACCTGCAGACTTTACAAACAGAGTGTTTCCAAACTGCTCTATGAAAAGAAAGGTTAAACTCTGTGAGTTGAACGCACACATCACAAAGTAGTTGTTGAGAATGATTCTGTGTAGTTTTTATACGAAGATATTTCCTTTTCTGCCATAGGCCTAGAAGCGCTTGTAATCTGCACTTGCAAATTCCAAAAACAGAGTGTTTCAAATCTGCTCTCTCTAAAGGAAGGTTCAAATCTGTGAGTTGAATACAAACAACACAAAGAAGTTACTGAGAATTCTTCTGTCTAGCATTATAAGAGGAAATCCCGTTTCCAACGAAGGGCTCATAGAGGGACAATTATCCAGCTGCAGACTTACAAAGAGTGTATTTCCAAACTGCTCGATTAAAGAAAGGTTAAACTCTGTGAGTTGAACACACACATCACAAAGTGTTTTCTGAGAATGATTTTGTCTAGTTTTAATACGAAGATATATCCTTTTCTATCACTGTCTTCGAAGCGTTTGAAATCTGCACTAGCAAATTCCACAGAAAGAGTGTTTCAACTCTGCTCTCTCTCAAGAAAGGTTCAACTCTGTGAGTTGAATACACACAACACAAAGAAGTTACTGAGAATTCTTCTGTCTAGCGTTGTATGAAGAAATCCCGTTTCCAACGAAGGCCTCAAAGAGGTCCAAATATCCACTTGCAGACTTTACAAATAGAGTGTTTCCCAACTGCTCTATGAAAAGAAAGGTTAAACTCTGTGAGTTGAAGGCACACATCACAAACTAGTTTCTACGAATGACTCTGTGTACTTTTAATATGAAGATATTTCCATGTCTAAGATTGGCGTCAAATCGCTTGAAATCTCCACTTGCAAATTCCACAAAAAGAGTGTTTCAAAACTGCTCTGAATAAAGGAAGGTTCCACTCTGTGAGTTGAATACACACAACACAAAGGAGTTACTGAGAATTCTTCTGTCTAGCAGTAAATGAGAAATCCCGCTTCCAACGAAGGCCTCAAAGGGGTCTAACTAATCACTTGCAGACTTTACAGACAGAGTCTTTCCAAACTGCTCTATGAAGAGAAAGGTGAAACTCTGTGAACTGAACGCACAGATGACAAAGCAGTTTCTGAGAATGATTCTGTGTAGTTTTTACACGAAGATATTTCCATTTCAAAGATTAGCCTCAAATCGCTTGAAATCTCCACTTGCAAATTACACAGAAAGAATTTTTCAAAACTGCTCTGTCTAAAGGAAGGTTCAACTCTGTGACTTGAATACACACAACACAAAGAAGTGACTGAGAATTCTTCTGTCTAGCATTATATGAAGAAATCCCGTTTCCAACGAAGGCCTCAATGAAGTCCAAAAAAGCACTTGCAGGCTTTACAAACAGAGTGTTTCCAAACTGCTCTATGAAAAGAAAGGTTAAACTCTGTGAGTTGAACGCACACATCACAAAGTAGTTGTTGAGAATGATTCTGTGTAGTTTTTATACGAAGATATTTCCTTTTCTGCCATAGGCCTAGAATCGCTTGAAATCTGCAGTTGCAAATTCCAAAAACAGAGTGTTTCAACTCTGCTCTCTCTAAAGAAAGGTTCAACTCTGTGAGTTGAATACACACAACACAAAGAAGTTACTGAGAATTCTTCTGTCTAGCGTTGTATGAAGAAATCCCGTTTCCAACGAAGGCCTCAAAGAGGTCCAAATATCCACTTGCAGACTTTACAAATAGAGTGTTTCCAAACTGCTCTATGAAAAGAAAGGTTAAACTCTGTGAGTTGAAGGCACACATCACAAACTAGTTTCTACGAATGACTCTGTGTACTTTTAATATGAAGATATTTCCATGTCTAAGATTGACGTCAAATCGCTTGAAATCTCCACTTGCAAATTCCACAAAAAGTGTTTTTCAAAACTGCTCTGAATAAAGGAAGGTTCCACTTCTGTGAGTTGAATACACACAACACAAAGGATTTACTGAGAATTCTTCTGTCTAGCAGTAAATGAGAAATCCCGCTTCTAACGAAGGCCTCAAACGGGTCTAACTAATCACTTGCAGACTTTACAGACAGAGTCTTTCCAAACTGCTCTATGAAGAGAAAGGTGAAACTCTGTGAACTGAACGCACAGATGACAAAGCAGTTTCTGAGAATGCTTCTGTGTAGTTTTTACACGAAGATATTTCCATTTCAAAGATTAGCCTCAAATCGCTTGAAATCTCCACTTGCAAACTCCACAGAAAGAATTTTTCAAAACTGCTCTGTCTAAAGGAAGGTTCAACTCTGTGACTTGAATACACACAACACAAAGAAGTGACTGAGAATTCTTCTGTCTAGCATTATATGAAGAAATCCCGTTTCCAACGAAGGCCTCAATGAAGTCCAAAAAAGCACTTGCAGGCTTTACAAACAGAGTGTTTCCAAACTGCTCTATGAAAAGAAAGGTTAAACTCTGTGAGTTGAACGCACACATCACAAAGTAGTTGTTGAGAATGATTCTGTGTAGTTTTTATACGAAGATATTTCCTTTTCTGCCATAGGCCTAGAAGCGCTTGAAATCTGCACTTGCAAATTCCAAAAACAGAGTGTTTCAACTCTGCTCTCTCTAAAGAAAGGTTCAACTCTGTGAGTTGAATACACACAACACAAAGAAGTTACTGAGAATTCTTCTGTCTAGCGTTGTATGAAGAAATCCCGTTTCCAACGAAGGCCTCAATGAAGTCCAAAAAAGCACTTGCAGGCTTTACAAACAGAGTGTTTCCAAACTGCTCTATGAAAAGAAAGGTTAAACTCTGTGAGTTGAACACACACATCACAAAGAGTTTTCTGAGAATGATTTTGTCTACTTTTAATACGAAGATATATCCTTTTCTATCACTGTCTTCGAAGCGTTTGAAATCTACACTAGCAAATTCCACAAAAAGAGTGTTTCACCTCTGCTCCCTCTAAAGAAAGGTTCAACTCTGTGAGTTGAATACACACAACACAAAGAAGTTACTGAGAATTCTTCTGTCTAGCGTTATATGAAGAAATCCCGTTTCCAACGAAGGCCTCAAAGAGGTCCAAATATCCACTTGCAGACTTTACAAATAGAGTGTTTCCCAACTGCTCTATGAAAAGAAAGGTTAAACTCTGTGAGTTGAAGGCACACATCACAAACTAGTTTCTACGAATGACTCTGTGTACTTTTAATATGAAGATATTTCCATGTCTAAGATTGGCGTCAAATCGCTTGAAATCTCCACTTGCAAATTCCACAAAAAGAGTGTTTCAAAACTGCTCTGAATAAAGGAAGGTTCCACTCTGTGAGTTGAATACACACAACACAAAGGATTTACTGAGAATTCTTCTGTCTAGCAGTAAATGAGAAATCCCGCTTCCAACGAAGGCCTCAAAGGGGTCTAACTAATCACTTGCAGACTTTACAGACAGAGTCTTTCCAAACTGCTCTATGAAGAGAAAGGTGAAACTCTGTGAACTGAACGCACAGATGACAAAGCAGTTTCTGAGAATGATTCTGTGTAGTTTTTACACGAAGATATTTCCATTTCAAAGATTAGCCTCAAATCGCTTGAAATCTCCACTTGCAAATTACACAGAAAGAATTTTTCAAAACTGCTCTGTCTAAAGGAAGGTTCAACTCTGTGACTTGAATACACACAACACAAAGAAGTGACTGAGAATTCTTCTGTCTAGCATTATATGAAGAAATCCCGTTTCCAACGAAGGCCTCAAAGAAGTCCAAATAAGCACCTGCAGACTTTACAAACAGAGTGTTTCCAAACTGCTCTATGAAAAGAAAGGTTAAACTCTGTGAGTTGAACGCACACATCACAAAGTAGTTGTTGAGAATGATTCTGTGTAGTTTTTATACGAAGATATTTCCTTTTCTGCCATAGGCCTAGAAGCGCTTGTAATCTGCACTTGCAAATTCCAAAACCAGAGTGTTTCAAATCTGCTCTCTCTAAAGGAAGGTTCAAATCTGTGAGTTGAATACAAACAACACAAAGAAGTTACTGAGAATTCTTCTGTCTAGCATTATATGAGGAAATCCCGTTTCCAACGAAGGGCTCATAGAGGGACAATTATCCAGCTGCAGACTTACAAAGAGTGTATTTCCAAACTGCTCGATTAAAGAAAGGTTAAACTCTGTGAGTTGAACACACACATCACAAAGTGTTTTCTGAGAATGATTTTGTCTAGTTTTAATACGAAGATATATCCTTTTCTATCACTGTCTTCGAAGCGTTTGAAATCTGCACTAGCAAATTCCACAAACAGAGTGTTTCAACTCTGCTCTCTCTCAAGAAAGGTTCAACTCTGTGAGTGGAATACACACAACACAAAGAAGTTACTGAGAATTCTTCTGTCTAGCGTTATATGAAGAAATCCCGTTTCCAACGAAGGCCTCAAAGAGGTCCAAATATCCACTTGCAGACTTTACAAATAGAGTGTTTCCAAACTGCTCTATGAAAAGAAAGGTTAAACTCCGTGAGTTGAAGGCACACATCACAAACTAGTTTCTGCGAATGACTCTGTGTACTTTTAATACGAAGATGTTTCCATGTCTAAGATTGGCGTGAATTCGCTTGAAATCTCCACTTGCAAATTCCACAAAAAGAGTGTTTCAAAACTGCTCTGAATAAAGGAAGGTTCCACTCTGTGAGTTGAATACACACAACACAAAGGATTTACTGAGAATTCTTCTGTCTAGCAGTAAATGAAAAAATCCCGCTTCCAACGAAGTCCTCAAAGGGGTCCAAGTAATCACTTGCAGACTTTACAGACAGAGTCTTTCCAAACTGCTCTATGAAAAGAAAGGTGGAACTCTGTGAGCTGAACGCACACATAACAAAGCAGTTTCTGAGAATGATTCTGTGTAGTTTTTACACGAAGATATTTGCATTTCAAAGATTAGCCTCAAATCGCTTGAAATCTCCACTTGCAAATTCCACAGAAAGAGTTTTTCAAAACTGCTCTGTGTAAAGGAAGGTTCAGCTCTGTGACTTGAATACACACAACACAAAGAAGTGACTGAGAATTCTTCTGTCTAGCATTATATGAAGAAATCCCGTTTCCAACGAAGGCCTCAAAGAAGTCCAAATAAGCACCTGCAGACTTTACAAACAGAGTGTTTCCAAACTGCTCTATGAAAAGAAAGGTTAAACTACTGTGAGCTGAACGCACACATCATAAAGTAGTTGTTGAGAATGATTCTGTGTAGTTTTTATACGAAGATATTTCCTTTTCTGCCATAGGCCTAGAAGCGCTTGCAATCTGCACTTGCAAATTCCAAAAACAGAGTGTTTCAAATCTGCTCTCTCCAAAGGAAGGTTCAAATCTGTGAGTTGAATACAAACAACACAAAGAAGTTACTGAGAGTTCTTCTGTCTAGCATTATATGAGGAAATCCCGTTTCCAACGAAGGGCTCATAGAGGGACAATTATCCAGCTGCAGACTTACAAAGAGTGTATTTCCAAATTGCTCGATTAAAGAAAGGTTAAACTCTGTGAGTTGAACACACACATCACAAAGTTTTTTCTGAGAATGATTTTGTCTAGTTTTAATACGAAGATATATCCTTTTCTATCACTGTCTTCGAAGCGTTTGAAATCTGCACTAGCAAATTCCACAAACAGAGTGTTTCAACTCTGCTCTCTCTCAAGAAAGGTTCAACTCTGTGAGTGGAATACACACAACACAAAGAAGTTACTGAGAATTCTTCTGTCTAGCGTTATATGAAGAAATCCCGTTTCCAACGAAGGCCTCAAAGAGGTCCAAATATCCACTTGCAGACTTTACAAATAGAGTGTTTCCAAACTGCTCTATGAAAAGAAAGGTTAAACTCTGTGAGTTGAAGGCACACATCACAATCTAGTTTCTGCGAATGACTCTGTGTACTTTTAATACGAAGATGTTTCCATGTCTAAGATTGGCGTGAATTCGCTTGAAATCTCCACTTGCAAATTCCACAAAAAGAGTGTTTCAAAACTGCTCTGAATAAAGGAAGGTTCCACTCTGTGAGTTGAATACACACAACACAAAGGATTTACTGAGAATTCTTCTGTCTGGCAGTAAATGAAAAAATCCCGCTTCCAACGAAGTCCTCAAAGGGGTCCAAGTAATCACTTGCAGACTTTACAGACAGAGTCTTTCCAAACTGCTCTATGAAAACAAAGGTGGAACTCTGTGAGCTGAACGCACACATAACAAAGCAGTTTCTGACAATGATTCTGTGTAGTTTTTACACGAAGATATTTCCATTTCAAAGATTAGCCTCAAATCGCTTGAAATCTCCACTTGCAAATTCCACAGAAAGAGTTTTTCAAAACTGCTCTGTGTAAAGGAAGGTTCAACTCTGTGACTTGAATACACACAACACAAAGAAGTGACTGAGAATTCTTCTGTCTAGCATTATATGAAGAAATCCCGTTTCCAACGAAGGCCTCAAAGAAGTCCAAATAAGCACCTGCAGACTTTACAAACAGAGTGTTTCCAAACTGCTCTATGAAAAGAAAGGTTAAACTCTGTGAGTTGAACGCACACATCACAAAGTAGTTGTTGAGAATGATTCTGTGTAGTTTTTATACGAAGATATTTCCTTTTCTGCCATAGGCCTAGAAGCGCTTGTAATCTGCACTTGCAAATTCCAAAAACAGAGTGTTTCAAATCTGCTCTCTCTAAAGGAAGGTTCAAATCTGTGAGTTGAATACAAACAACACAAAGAAGTTACTGAGGAATTCTTCTGTCTAGCATTATAAGAGGAAATCCCGTTTCCAACGAAGGGCTCATAGAGGGACAATTATCCAGCTGCAGACTTACAAAGAGTGTATTTCCAAACTGCTCGATTAAAGAAAGGTTAAACTCTGTGAGTTGAACACACACATCACAAAGTGTTTTCTGAGAATGATTTTCTCTAGTTTTAATACGAAGATATATCCTTTTCTATCACTGTCTTCGAAGCGTTTGAAATCTGCACTAGCAAATTCCACAAACAGAGTGTTTCAACTCTGCTCTCTCTCAAGAAAGGTTCAACTCTGTGAGTGGAATACACACAACACAAAGAAGTTACTGAGAATTCTTCTGTCTAGCGTTATATGAAGAAATCCCGTTTCCAACGAAGGCCTCAAAGAGGTCCAAATATCCACTTGCAGACTTTACAAATAGAGTGTTTCCAAACTGCTCTATGAAAAGAAAGGTTAAACTCCGTGAGTTGAAGGCACACATCACAAACTAGTTTCTGCGAATGACTCTGTGTACTTTTAATACGAAGATGTTTCCATGTCTAAGATTGGCGTGAATTCGCTTGAAATCTCCACTTGCAAATTCCACAAAAAGAGTGTTTCAAATGTGCTCTGAATAAAGGAAGGTTCCACTCTGTGAGTTGAATACACACAACACAAAGGATTTACTGAGAATTCTTCTGTCTAGCAGTAAATGAAAAAATCCCGCTTCCAACGAAGTCCTCAAAGGTGTCCAAGTAATCACTTGCAGACTTTACAGACAGAGTCTTTCCAAACTGCTCTACGAAAAGAAAGGTGGAACGCTGTGAGCTGAACGCACACATAACAAAGCAGTTTCTGAGAATGATTCTGTGTAGTTTTTACACGAAGATATTTCCATTTCAAAGATTAGCCTCAAATCGCTTGAAATCTCCACTTGCAAATTCCACAGAAAGAGTTTTTCAAAACTGCTCTGTGTAAAGGAAGGTTCAACTCTGTGACTTGAATACACACAACACAAAGAAGTGACTGAGAATTCTTCTGTCTAGCATTATATGAAGAAATCCCGTTTCCAACGAAGGCCTCAAAGAAGTCCAAATAAGCACCTGCAGACTTTACAAACAGAGTGTTTCCAAACTGCTCTATGAAAAGAAAGGTTAAACTCTGTGAGTTGAATGCACACATCACAAAGTAGTTGTAGAGAATGATTTCTGTGTAGTTTTTATACGAAGATATTTCCTTTTCTGCCATAGGCCTAGAAGCGCTTGCAATCTGCACTTGCAAATTCCAAAAACAGAGTGTTTCAAATCTGCTCTCTCTAAAGGAAGGTTCAAATCTGTGAGTTGAATACAAACAACACAAAGAAGTTACTGAGAATTCTTCTGTCTAGCATTATATGAGGAAATCCCGTTTCCAACGAAGGGCTCATAGAGGGACAATTATCCACCTGCACACTTACAAAGAGTGTATTTCCAAACTGCTCGATTAAAGAAAGGTTAAACTCTGTGAGTTGAACACACACATCACAAAGTGTTTTCTGAGAATGATTTTGTCTAGTTTTAATACGAAGATATATCCTTTTCTATCACTGTCTTCGAAGCGTTTGAAATCTGCACTAGCAAATTCCACAGAAAGAGTGTTTCAAATCTGCTCTCTCTCAAGAAAGGTTCAACTCTGTGAGTGGAATACACACAACACAAAGAAGTTACAGAGAATTCTTCTGTCTAGCGTTATATGAAGAAATCCCGTTTCCAACGAAGGCCTCAAAGAGGTCCAAATATCCACTTGCAGACTTTACAAATAGAGTGTTTCCAAACTGCTCTATGAAAAGAAAGGTTAAACTCCGTGTGTTGAAGGCACACATCTCAAACTAGTTTCTGCGAATGACTCTGTGTACTTTTAATACGAAGATGTTTCCATGTCTAAGATTGGCGTGAATTCGCTTGAAATCTCCACTTGCAAATTCCACAAAAAGAGTGTTTCAAAAATGCTCTGAATAAAGGAAGGTTCCACTCTGTGAGTTGAATACACACAACACAAAGGATTTACTGAGAATTCTTCTGTCTAGCAGTAAATGAAAAAATCCCGCTTCCAACGAAGTCCTCAAAGGGGTCCAAGTAATCACTTGCAGACTTCACAGAGTCTTTCCAAACTGCCCTATGAAAAGAAAGGTGGAACTGTGTGAGCTGAACGCACACATAACAAAGCAGTTTCTGAGAATGATTCTGTGTAGTTTTTACACGAAGATATTTCCATTTCAAAGATTAGCCTCAAATCGCTTGAAATCTCCACTTGCAAATTCCACAGAAAGAGTTTTTCAAAACTGCTCTGTGTAAAGGAAGGTTCAACTCTGTGACCTGAATACACACAACACAAAGACGTGACTGAGAATTCTTCTGTCTAGCATTATATGAAGAAATCCCGTTTCCAACGAAGGCCTCAAAGAAGTCCAAATAAGCACCTGCAGACTTTACAAACAGAGTGTTTCCAAACTGCTCTATGAAAAGAAAAGTTAAACTCTGTGAGTTGAACGCACACATCACAAAGTAGTTGTTGAGAATGATTCTGTGTAGTTTTTATACGAAGATATTTCCTTTTCTGCCATAGGCCTAGAAGCGCTTGAAATCTGCACTTGCAAATTCCAAAAACAGAGTGTTTCAAATCTGCTCTCTCTAAAGGAAAGTTCAAATCTGTGAGTTGAATACAAACAATACAAGGAACTTACTGAGAATTCTTCTGTCTAGCATTATATGAGGAAATCCCGTTTCCAACGAAGGGCTCATAGAGGGACAATTATCCAGCTGCAGACTTACAAAGAGTGTATTTCCAAACTGCTCGATTAAAGAAAGGTTAAACTCTGTGAGTTGAACACACACATCACAAAGTGTTTTCTGAGAATGATTCTGTGTAGTTTTTATACGAAGATATTTCCTTTTCTGCCATAGGCCTAGAAGCGCTTGTAATCTGCACTTGCAAATTCCAAAAACAGAGTGTTACAAATCTGCTCTCTCTAAAGGAAGGTTCAATCTGTGAGTTGAATACAAACAACACAAAGTAGTTACTGAGAATTCTTCTGTCTAGCATTATAAGAGGAAATCCCGTTTCCAACGAAGGGCTCATAGAGGGACAATTATCCAGCCGCAGACTTACAAAGAGTGTATTTCCAAACTGCTCGATTAAAGAAAGGTTAAACTCTGTGAGTTGAACACACACATCACAAAGTGTTTTCTGAGAATGATTTTGTCTAGTTTTAATACGAAGATATACCCTTTTCTATCACTGTCTTCGAAGCGTTTGAAATCTGCACTAGCAAATTCCACAGAAAGAGTGTTTCAACTCTGCTCTCTCTCAAGAAAGGTTCAACTCTGTGAGTTGAATACACACAACACAAAGAAGTTACTGAGAATTCTTCTGTCTAGCGTTATATGAAGAAATCCCATTTCCAACGAAGGCCTCAAAGAGGTCCAAATATCCACTTGCAGACTTTACAAATAGAGTGTTTCCAAACTGCTCTATGAAAAGAAAGGTTAAACTCCGTGAGTTGAAGGCACACATCACAAACTAGTTTCTGCGAATGACTCTGTGTACTTTTAATACGAAGATGTTTCCATGTCTAAGATTGGCGTGAATTCGCTTGAAATCTCCACTTGCAAATTCCACAAAAAGAGTGTTTCAAAACTGCTCTGAATAAAGGAAGGTTCCACTCTGTGAGTTGAATACACACAACACAAAGGATTTACTGAGAATTCTTCTGTCTAGCAGTAAATGAGAAATCCCGCTTCCAACGAAGGCCTCAAAGGGGTCTAACTAATCACTTGCAGACTTTAGAGACAGAGTCTTTCCAAACTGCTCTATGAAGAGAAAGGTGAAACTCTGTGAACTGAACGCACAGATGACAAAGCAGTTTCTGAGAATGCTTCTGTATAGTTTTTACACGAAGATATTTCCATTTCAAAGATTAGCCTCAAATCGCTTGAAATCTCCACTTGCAAACTCCACAGAAAGAATTTTTCAAAACTGCTCTGTCTAAAGGAAGGTTCAACTCTGTGACTTGAATACTCACAACACAAAGAAGTGACTGAGAATTCTTCTGTCTAGCATTATATGAAGAAATCCCGTTTCCAACGAAGGCCTCAATGAAGTCCAAAAAAGCACTTGCAGGGTTTACAAACAGAGTGTTTCCAAACTGCTCTATGAAAAGAAACGTTAAACTCTGTGAGTTGAACGCACACATCACAAAGTAGTTGTTGAGAATGATTCTGTGTAGTTTTTATACGAAGATATTTCCTTTTCTGCCATAGGCCTAGAAGCGCTTGAAATTTGCACTTGCAAATTCTAAAAACAGAGTGTTTCAAATCTGCCCTCTCTAAAGGAAGGTTCAAATCTGTGAGTTGAATACAAACAACACAAAGAAGTTACTGAGAATTCTTCTGTCTAGCATTATATGAGGAAATCCCGTTTCCAACGAAGGGCTCATAGTAGGGACAATTATCCAGCTGCAGACTTACAAAGAGTGTATTTCCAAACTGCTCGATTAAAGAAAGGTTAAACTCTGTGAGTTGAACACACACATCACAAAGTGTTTTCTGAGAATGATTTTGTCTAGTTTTAATACGAAGATATATCCTTTTCTATCACTGTCTTCGAAGCGTTTCAAATCGGCACAAGCAAATTCCACAAACAGAGTGTTTCAACTCTGCTCTCTCTCAAGAAAGGTTCAACTCTGTGAGTGGAATACACACAACACAAAGAAGTTACTGAGAATTCTTCTGTCTAGCGTTATATGAAGAAATCCCTTTTCCAACGATGGCCTCAAAGAGGTCCAAATATCCACTTGCAGACTTTACAAATAGAGTGTTTCCGAACTGCTCTATGAAAAGAAAGGTTAAACTCGGTGAGTTGAAGGCACACATCACAAACTAGTTTCTACGAATGATTCTGTGTACTTTTAATATGAAGATATTTCCATGTCTAAGATTGGCGTCAAATCGCTTGAAATCTCCACTTGCAAATTCCACAAAAAGAGTGTTTCAAAACTGCTCTGAATAAAGGAAGGTTCCACTCTGTGAGTTGAATAAACGCAACACAAATGATTTACTGAGAATTCTTCTGTCTAGCATTATATGAAGAAATCCCGTTTCCAACGAAGGCCTCAATGAAGTCCAAAAAAGCACTTGCAGGCTTTACAAACAGCGTGTTTCCAAACTGCTCTATGAAAAGAAAGGTTAAACTTTGTGAGTTGAACGCACACATCACAAAGTAGTTGTTGAGAATGATTCTGTGTAGTTTTCATACGAAGATATTTCCTTTCCTGCCATAGGCCTAGAATCGCTTGAAATCTGCACTTGCAAATTCCAAAAACAGAGTGTTTGAACTCTGCTCTCTCTAAAGAAAGGTTCAACTCTGTGAGTTGAATACACACAACACAAAGAAGTTACTGAGAATTCTTCTGTCTAGTGTTGAATGAAGAAATCCCATTTCCAACGAAGGCCTCAAAGAGGTCCAAATATCCACTTGCAGACATTACAAATAGAGTGTTTCCCAACTGCTCTATGAAAAGAAAGGTTAAACTCTGTGAGTTGAAGGCACACATCACAAACTAGTTTCTACGAATGACTCTGTGTACTTTTAATATGAAGATATTTCCATGTCTAAGATTGGCGTCAAATCGCTTGAAATCTCCACTTGCAAATTCCACAAAAAGTGTTTTTCAAAACTGCTCTGAATAAAGGAAGGTTCCACTCTGTGAGTTGAATACACACAACACAAAGGATTTACTGAGAATTCTTCTGTCTAGCAGTAAATGAGAAATCCCGCTTCCAACGAAGGCCTCAAAGGGGTCTAACTAATCACTTGCAGACTTTACAGACAGAGTCTTTCCAAACTGCTCTATGAAGAGAAAGGTGAAACTCTGTGAACTGAACGCACAGATAACAAAGCAGTTTCTGAGACTGAATCTGTGTAGTTTTTACACGAAGATATTTCCATTTCAAAGATTAGCCTCAAATCGCTTAAAATCTCCAATTGCAAATTCCACAGAAAGAATTTTTCAAAACTGCTCTGTCTAAAAGAAGGTTCACCTCTGTGACTTGAATACACACAACACAAAGAACTGACTGAGAATTCTTCTGTCTAGCATTATATGAAGAAATCCCGTTTCCAACAAAGGCCTCAATGAAGTCCAAAAATGCACTTGCAGGCTTTACAAACAGAGTGTTTCCAAACTGCTCTAAGAAAAGAAAGGTTAAACTGTGTGAGTTGAACGCACACATCACAAAGTAGTTGTTGAGAATGATTCTGTGTAGTTTTTATACGAAGATATTTCCTTTTCTGCCATAGGCCTAGAAGCGCTTGAAATCTGCACTTGCAAATTCCAAAAACAGAGTGTTTCAAATCTGCTCTCTCTAAAGGAAGGTTCAAATCTGTGAGTTGAATACAAACAACACAAAGAAGTTACTGAGAATTCTTCTGTCTAGCATTATATGAGGAAATCCCGTTTCCAACGAAGGGCTCAAAGAGGGCCAATTATCCACCTGCAGACTTACAAAGAGTGTATTTCCAAACTGCTCGATTAAAGAAAGGTTAAACTCTGTGAGTTGAACACACACATCACAAAGTGTTTTCTGAGAATGATTTTGTCTAGTTTTAATACGAAGATATATCCTTTGCTATCACTGTCTTCGAAGCGTTTGAAATCTGCACTAGCAAATTCCACAAAAAGAGTGTTTCAACTCTGCTCTCTCTAAAGAAAAGTTGAACTCTGTGAGTTGAATACACACAACACAAAGAAGTTACTGAAAATTCTTCTGTCTAGCGTTATATGAAGAAATCCCTTTTCCAACGATGGCCTCAAAGAGGTCCAAATATCCACTTGCAGACTTTACAAATAGAGTGTTTCTGAACTGCTCTATGAAAAGAAAGGTTAAACTCTGTGAGTTGAAGGCACACATCACAAACTAGTTTCTACGAATGATTCTGTGTACTTTTAATATGAAGATATTTCCATGTCTAAGATTGGCGTCAAATCGCTTGAAATCTCCACTTGCAAATTCCACAAAAAGAGTGTTTCAAAACTGCTCTGAATAAAGGAAGGTTCCACTCTGTGAGTTGAATAAACGCAACACAAATGATTTACTGAGAATTCTTCTGTCTAGCATTATATGAAGAAATCCCGTTTCCAACGAAGGCCTCAATGAAGTCCAAAAAAGCACTTGCAGGCTTTACAAACAGAGTGTTTCCAAACTGCTCTATGAAAAGAAAGGTTAAACTTTGTGAGTTGAACGCACACATCACAAAGTAGTTGTTGAGAATGATTCTGTGCAGTTTTTATACGAAGATATTTCCTTTTCTGCCATAGGCCTAGAATCGCTTGATATCTGCACTTGCAAATTCCAAAAACAGAGTGTTTCAACTCTGCTCTCTCTAAAGAAAGGTTCAACTCTGTGAGTTGAATACACACAACACAAAGAAGTTACTGAGAATTCTTCTGTCTAGCGTTGTATGAAGAAATCCCGTTTCCAACGAAGGCCTCAAAGAGCTCCAAATATCCACTTGCAGACTTTACAAATAGAGTGTTTCCAAACTGCTCTATGAAAAGAAAGGTTAAACTGCTGTGAGTTGAAGGCACACATCACAAACTAGTTTTAACGAATGACTCTGTGTACTTTTAATATGAAGATATTTCCATGTCTAAGATTGGCGTCAAATCGCTTGAAATCTCCACTTGCAAATTCCACAAAAAGTGTTTTTCAAAAGTGCTCTGAATAAAGGAAGGTTCCACTCTGTGAGTTGAATACACACAACACAAAGGATTTACTGAGAATTCTTCTGTCTAGCAGTAAATGAGAAATCCCGCTTCCAACGAAGGCCTCAAAGGGGTCTAACTAATCACTTGCAGACTTTACAGACAGAGTCTTTCCAAACTGCTCTATGAAGAGAAAGGTGAAACTCTGTGAACTGAACGCACAGATGACAAAGCAGTTTCTGAGAATGATTCTGTGTAGTTTTTACACGAAGATATTTCCATTTCAAAGATTAGCCTCAAATCGCTTGAAATCTCCACTTGCAAACTCCACAGAAAGAATTTTTCAAAACTGCTCTGTCTAAAGGAAGGTTCAACTCTGTGACTTGAATACACACAACACAAAGAAGTGACTGAGAATTCTTCTGTCTAGCATTATATGAAGAAATCCCGTTTCCAACGAAGGCCTCAATGAAGTCCAAAAAAGCACTTGCAGACTTTACAAACAGAGTGTTTCCAAACTGCTCTATGAAAAGAAAGGTTAAACTCTGTGAGTTGAACGCACACATCACAAAGTAGTTGTTGAGAATGATTCTGTGTAGTTTTTATACGAAGATATTTCCTTTTCTGCCATAGGCCTAGAAGCGCTTGAAATCTGCACTTGCAAATTCCAAAAACAGAGTGTTTCAAATCTGCTCTCTCTAAAGGAAGGTTCAAATCTGTGTGTTGAATACAAACAACACAAAGAAGTTACTGAGAATTCTTCTGTCTAGCATTATATGAGGAAATCCCGTTTCCAACGAAGGGCTCAAAGAGGGCCAAATATCCACCTGCAGACTTACAAAGAGTGTATTTCCAAACTGCTCGATTAAAGAAAGGTTAAACTCTGTGAGTTGAACACACACATCACAAAGAGTTTTCTGAGAATGATTTTGTCTACTTTTAATACGAAGATATATCCTTTTCTATCACTGTCTTCGAAGCGTTTGAAATCTACACTAGCAAATTCCACAAAAAGAGTGTTTCACCTCTGCTCCCTCTAAAGAAAGGTTCAACTCTGTGAGTTGAATACACACAACACAAAGAAGTTACTGAGAATTCTTCTGTCTAGCGTTATATGAAGAAATCCCGTTTCCAACGAAGGCCTCAAAGAGGTCCAAATATCCACTTGCAGACTTTACAAATAGAGTGTTTCCCAACTGCTCTATGAAAAGAAAGGTTAAACTCTGTGAGTTGAAGGCACACATCACAAACTAGTTTCTACGAATGACTCTGTGTACTTTTAATATGAAGATATTTCCATGTCTAAGATTGGCGTCAAATCGCTTGAAATCTCCACTTGCAAATTCCACAAAAAGTGTTTTTCAAAACTGCTCTGAATAAAGGAAGGTTCCACTCTGTGAGTTGAATACACACAACACAAAGGATTTACTGAGAATTCTTCTGTCTAGCAGTAAATGAGAAATCCCGCTTCCAACGAAGGCCTCAAAGGGGTCTAACTAATCACTTGCAGACTTTACAGACAGAGTCTTTCCAAACTGCTCTATGAAGAGAAAGGTGAAACTCTGTGAACTGAACGCACAGATGACAAAGCAGTTTCTGAGAATGATTCTGTGTAGTTTTTACACGAAGATATTTCCATTTCAAAGATTAGCCTCAAATCGCTTGAAATCTCCACTTGCAAACTCCACAGAAAGAATTTTTCAAAACTGCTCTGTCAAAGGAAGGTTCAACTCTGTGACTTGAATACACACAACACAAAGAAGTGACTGAGAATTCTTCTGTCTAGCATTATATGAAGAAATCCCGTTTCCAACGAAGGCCTCAATGAAGTCCAAAAAAGCACTTGCAGGCTTTACAAACAGAGTGTTTCCAAACTGCTCTATGAAAAGAAAGGTTAAACTCTGTGAGTTGAACGCACACATCACAAAGTAGTTGTTGAGAATGATTCTGTGTAGTTTTTATACGAAGATATTTCCTTTTCTGCCATAGGCCTAGAATCGCTTGAAATCTGCACTTGCAAATTCCAAAAACAGAGTGTTTCAACTCTGCTCTCTCTAAAGAAAGGTTCAACTCTGTGAGTTGAATACACACAACACAAAGAAGTTACTGAGAATTCTTCTGTCTAGCGTTATATGAAGAAATCCCGTTTCCAACGAAGGCCTCAAAGAGGTCCAAATATCCACTTGCAGACTTTACAAATAGAGTGTTTCCAAACTGCTCTATGAAAAGAAAGGTTAAACTCCGTGAGTTGAAGGCACACATCACAAACTAGTTTCTGCGAATGACTCTGTGTACTTTTAATATGAAGATATTTCCATGTCTAAGATTGGCGTCAAATCGCTTGAAATCTCCACTTGCAAATTCCACAAAAAGTGTTTTTCAAAACTGCTCTGAATAAAGGAAGGTTCCACTCTGTGAGTTGAATACACACAACACAAAGGATTTACTGAGAATTCTTCTGTCTAGCATTATATGAAGAAATCCCGTTTCCAACGAAGGCCTCAATGAAGTCCAAAAAAGCACTTGCAGGCTTTACAAACAGAGTGTTTCCAAACTTCTTTATGAAAAGAAAGGTTAAACTTTGTGAGTTGAACGCACACATCACAAAGTAGTTGTTGAGAATGATTCTGTGTAGTTTTTATACGAAGATATTTCCTTTTCTGCCATAGGCTTAGAATCGCTTGAAATCTGCACTTGCAAATTCCAAAAACAGAGTGTTTCAACTCTGCTCTCTCTAAAGAAAGGTTCAACTCTGTGAGTTGAATACACACAACACAAAGAAGTTACTGAGAATTCTTCTGTCTAGCATTATATGAAGAAATCCCGTTTCCAACGAAGGCCTCAATGAAGTCCAAAAAAGCACTTGCAGGCTTTACAAACAGAGTGTTTCCAAACTGCTCTATGAAAAGAAAGGTTAAACTCTGTGAGTTGAACGCACACATCACAAAGTAGTTGTTGAGAATGATTCTGTGTAGTTTTTATACGAAGATATTTCCTTTTCTGCCATAGGCCTAGAATCGCTTGAAATCTGCACTTGCAAATTCCAAAAACAGAGTGTTTCAACTCTGCTCTCTCTAAAGAAAGGTTCAACTCTGTGAGTTGAATACACACAACACAAAGAAGTTACTGAGAATTCTTCTGTCTAGCGTTGTATGAAGAAATCCCGTTTCCAACGAAGGCCTCAATGAAGTCCAAAAAAGCACTTGCACGCTTTACAAACAGAGTGTTTCCAAACTGCTCTATGAAAAGAAAGGTTAAACTCTGTGAGTTGAACGCACACATCACAAAGTAGTTGTTGAGAATGATTCTGTGTAGTTTTTATACGAAGATATTTCCTTTTCTGCCATAGGCCTAGAAGCGCTTGAAATCTGCACTTGCAAATTCCAAAAACAGAGTGTTTCAAATCTGCTCTCTCTAAAGGAAGGTTCAAATCTGTGTGTTGAATACAAACAACACAAAGAAGTTACTGAGAATTCTTCTGTCTAGCATTATATGAGGAAATCCCGTTTCCAACGAAGGGCTCAAAGAGGGCCAAATATCCACCTGCAGACTTACAAAGAGTGTATTTCCAAACTGCTCGATTAAAGAAAGGTTAAACTCTGTGAGTTGAACACACACATCACAAAGAGTTTTCTGAGAATGATTTTGTCTACTTTTAATACGAAGATATATCCTTTTCTATCACTGTCTTCGAAGCGTTTGAAATCTACACTAGCAAATTCCACAAAAAGAGTGTTTCACCTCTGCTCCCTCTAAAGAAAGGTTCAACTCTGTGAGTTGAATACACACAACACAAAGAAGTTACTGAGAATTCTTCTGTCTAGCGTTATATGAAGAAATCCCGTTTCCAACGAAGGCCTCAAAGAGGTCCAAATATCCACTTGCAGACTTTACAAATAGAGTGTTTCCCAACTGCTCTATGAAAAGAAAGGTTAAACTCTGTGAGTTGAAGGCACACATCACAAACTAGTTTCTACGAATGACTCTGTGTACTTTTAATATGAAGACATTTCCATGTCTAAGATTGGCATCAAATCGCTTGAAATCTCCACTTGCAAATTCCACAAAAAGTGTTTTTCAAAACTGCTCTGAATAAAGGAAGGTTCCACTCTGTGAGTTGAATACACACAACACAAAGGATTTACTGAGAATTCTTCTGTCTAGCAGTAAATGAGAAATCCCGCTTCCAACGAAGGCCTCAAAGGGGTCTAACTAATCACTTGCAGACTTTACAGACAGAGTCTTTCCAAACTGCTCTATGAAGAGAAAGGTGAAACTCTGTGAACTGAACGCACAGATGACAAAGCAGTTTCTGAGAATGATTCTGTGTAGTTTTTACACGAAGATATTTCCATTTCAAAGATTAGCCTCAAATCGCTTGAAATCTCCACTTGCAAACTCCACAGAAAGAATTTTTCAAAACTGCTCTGTCTAAAGGAAGGTTCAACTCTGTGACTTGAATACACACAACACAAAGAAGTGACTGAGAATTCTTCTGTCTAGCATTATATGAGGAAATCCCGTCTCCAACGAAGGGCTCATAGAGGGACAATTATCCAGCTGCAGACTTACAAAGAGTGTATTTCCAAACTGCTCGATTAAAGAAAGGTTAAACTCTGTGAGTTGAACACACACATCACAAAGTGTTTTCTGAGAATGATTTTGTCTAGTTTTAATAGGAAGATATATCCTTTTCTATCACTGTCTTCGAAGCGTTTGAAATCGGCACAAGCAAATTCCACAAACAGAGTGTTTCAACTCTGCTCTCTCTCAAGAAAGGTTCAACTCTGTGAGTGGAATACACACAACACAAAGAAGTTACTGAGAATTCTTCTGTCTAGCGTTATATGAAGAAATCCCGTTTCCAACGAAGGCCTCAAAGAGGTCCAAATATCCACTTGCAGACTTTACAAATAGAGTGTTTCCAAACTGCTCTATGAAAAGAAAGGTTAAACTCTGTGAGTTGAAGGCACACATCACAAACTAGTTTCTGCGAATGACTCTGTGTACTTTTAATACGAAGATGTTTCCATGTCTAAGATTGGCGTGAATTCGCTTGAAATCTCCACTTGCAAATTCCACAAAAAGAGTGTTTCAAAACTGCTCTGAATAAAGGAAGGTTCCACTCTGTGAGTTGAATACACACAACACAAAGGATTTACTGAGAATTCTTCTGTCTAGCAGTAAATGAAAAAATCCCGCTTCCAACGAAGTCCTCAAAGGGGTCCAAGTAATCACTTGCAGACTTTACAGACAGAGTCTTTCCAAACTGCTCTATGAAAAGAAAGGTGGAACTCTGTGAGCTGAACGCACACATAACAAAGCAGTTTCTGAGAATGATTCTGTGTAGTTTTTACACGAAGCTATTTCCATTTCAAAGATTAGCCTCAAATCGCTTGAAATCTCCACTTGCAAATTCCACAGAAAGAGTTTTTCAAAACTGCTCTGTGTAAAGGAAGGTTCAACTCTGTGACTTGAATACACAAAACACAAAGAAGTGACTGAGAATTCTTCTGTCTAGCATTATATGAAGAAATCCCGTTTCCAAAGAAGGCCTCAATGAAGTCCAAAAAAGCACTTGCAGGCTTTACAAACAGAGTGTTTCCAACCTTCTCTATGAAAAGAAAGGTTAAACTTTGTGAGTTGAACGCACACATCACAAAGTAGTTGTTGAGAATGATTCTGTGTAGTTTTTATACGAAGATATTTCCTTTTCTGCCATAGGCCTAGAATCGCTTGAAATCTGCACTTGCAAATTCCAAAAACAGAGTGTTTCAACTCTGCTCTCTCTAAAGAAAGGTTCAACTCTGTGAGTTGAATACACACAACACAAAGAAGTTACTGAGAATTCTTCTGTCTAGCGTTATATGAAGAAATCCCGTTTCCAACGAAGGCCTCAAAGAGGTCCAAATATCCACTTGCAGACTTTACAAATAGAGTGTTTCCCAACTGCTCTATGAAAAGAAAGGTTAAACTCTGTGAGTTGAAGGCACACATCACAAACTAGTTTCTACGAATGACTCTGTGTACTTTTAATATGAAGATTTTTCCATGTCTAAGATTGGCGTCAAATCGCTTAAAATCTCCACTTGCAAATTCCACAAAAAGAGTGTTTCAAAACTGCTCTGAATAAAGGAAGGTTCCACTCTGTGAGTTGAATACACACAACACAAAGGATTTACTGAGAATTCTTCTGTCTAGCAGTAAATGAGAAATCCCGCTTCCAACGAAGGCCTCAAAGGGGTCTAACTAATCACTTGCAGACTTTACAGACAGAGTCTTTCCAAACTGCTCTATGAAGAGAAAGGTGAAACTCTGTGAACTGAACGCACAGATGACAAAGCAGTTTCTGAGAATGATTCTGTGTAGTTTTTACACGAAGATATTTCCATTTCAAAGATTAGCCTCAAATCGCTTGAAATCTCCACTTGCAAATTACACAGAAAGAATTTTTCAAAACTGCTCTGTCTAAAGGAAGGTTCAACTCTGTGGCTTGAATACACACAACACAAAGAAGTGACTGAGAATTCTTCTGTCTAGCATTATATGAAGAAATCCCGTTTCCAACGAAGGCCTCAATGAAGTCCAAAAAAGCACTTGCAGGCTTTACAAACAGAGTGTTTCCAAACTGCTCTATGAAAAGAAAGGTTAAACTCTGTGAGTTGAACGCACACATCACAAAGTAGTTGTTGAGAATGATTCTGTGTAGTTTTTATACGAAGATATTTCCTTTTCTGCCATAGGCCTAGAAGCGCTTGCAATCTGCACTTGCAAATTACAAAAACAGAGTGTTTCAAATCTGCTCTCTCCAAAGGAAGGTTCAAATCTGTGAGTTGAATACAAACAACACAAAGAAGTTACTGAGAATTCTTCTGTCTAGCATTATATGAGGAAATCCCGTTTCCAACGAAGGGCTCATAGAGGGACAATTATCCAGCTGCAGACTTACAAAGAGTGTATTTCCAAACTGCTCGATTAAAGAAAGGTTAAACTCTGTGAGTTGAACACACACATCACAAAGTGTTTTCTGAGAATGATTTTGTCTAGTTTTAATACGAAGATATATCCTTTTCTATCACTGTCTTCGAAGCGTTTGAAATCTGCACTAGCAAATTCCACAAACAGAGTGTTTCAACTCTGCTCTCTCTCAAGAAAGGTTCAACTCTGTGAGTGGAATACACACAACACAAAGAAGTTACTGAGAATTCTTCTGTCTAGCGTTATATGAAGAAATCCCGTTTCCAAAGAAGGCCTCAAAGACGTCCAAATATCCACTTGCAGACTTTACAAATAGAGTGTTTCCAAACTGCTCTATGAAAAGAAAGGTTAAACTCTGTGAGTTGAAGGCACACATCACAAACTAGTTTCTGCGAATGACTCTGTGTACTTTTAATACGAAGATGTTTCCATGTCTAAGATTGGCGTGAATTCGCTTGAAATCTCCACTTGCAAATTCCACAAAAAGAGTGTTTCAAAACTGCTCTGAATAAAGGAAGGTTCCACTCTGTGAGTTGAATACACACAACACAAAGGATTTACTGAGAATTCTTCTGTCTAGCAGTAAATGAAAAAATCCCGCTTCCAACGAAGTCCTCAAAGGGGTCCAAGTAATCACTTGCAGACTTTACAGACAGAGTCTTTCCAAACTGCTCTATGAAAAGAAAGGTGGAACTCTGTGAGCTGAACGCACACATAACAAAGCAGTTTCTGAGAATGATTCTGTGTAGTTTTTACACGAAGCTATTTCCATTTCAAAGATTAGCCTCAAATCGCTTGAAATCTCCACTTGCAAATTCCACAGAAAGAGTTTTTCAAAACTGCTCTGTGTAAAGGAAGGTTCAACTCTGTGACTTGAATACACACAACACAAAGAAGTGACTGAGAATTCTTCTGTCTAGCATTACATGAAGAAATCCCGTTTCCAACGAAGGCCTCAAAGAAGTCCAAATAAGCACCTGCAGACTTTACAAACAGAGTGTTTCCAAACTGCTCTATGAAAAGAAAGGTTAAACTCTGTGAGTTGAACGCACACATCACAAAGTAGTTGTTGAGAATGATTCTGTGTAGTTTTTATACGAAGATATTTCCTTTTCTGCCATAGGCCTAGAAGCGCTTGTAATCTGCACTTGCAAATTCCAAAAACAGAGTGTTTCATATCTGCTCTCTCTAAAGGAAGGTTCAAATCTGTGAGTTGAATACAAACAACACAAAGAAGTTACTGAGAATTCTTCTGTCTAGCATTATAAGAGGAAATCCCGTTTCCAACGAAGGGCTCATAGAGGGACAATTATCCAGCTGCAGACTTACAAAGAGTGTATTTCCAAACTGCTCGATTAAAGAAAGGTTAAACTCTGTGAGTTGAACACACACATCACAAAGTGTTTTCTGAGAATGATTCTGTGTAGTTTTTATACGAAGATATTTCCTTTTCTGCCATAGGCCTAGAAGCGCTTGCAATCTGCACTTGCAAATTCCACAAACAGAGTGTTTCAAATCTGCTCTCTCCAAAGGAAGGTTCAAATCTGTGAGTTGAATACAAACAACACAAAGAAGTTACTGAGAATTCTTCTGTCTAGCATTATAAGAGGAAATCCCGTTTCCAACGAAGGGCTCATAGAGGGACAATTATCCAGCTGCAGACTTACAAAGAGTGTATTTCCAAACTGCTCGATTAAAGAAAGGTTAAACTCTGTGAGTTGAACACACACATCACAAAGTGTTTTCTGAGAATGATTTTGTCTAGTTTTAATACGAAGATATATCCTTTTCTATCACTGTCTTCGAAGCGTTTGAAATCTGCACTAGCAAATTCCACAAACAGAGTGTTTCAACTCTGCTCTCTCTCAAGAAAGGTTCAACTCTGTGAGTTGAATACACACAACACAAAGAAGTTACTGAGAATTCTTCTGTCTAGCGTTATATGAAGAAATCCCGTTTCCAACGAAGGCCTCAAAGAGGTCCAAATATCCACTTGCAGACTTTACAAATAGAGTGTTTCCAAACTGCTCTATGAAAAGAAAGGTTAAACTCCGTGAGTTGAAGGCACACATCACAAACTAGTTTCTGCGAATGACTCTGTGTACTTTTAATACGAAGATGTTTCCATGTCTAAGATTGGCGTGAATTCGCTTGAAATCTCCACTTGCAAATTCCACAAAAAGAGTGTTTCAAAAGTGCTCTGAATAAAGGAAGGTTCCACTCTGTGAGTTGAATACACACAACACAAAGGATTTACTGAGAATTCTTCTGTCTAGCAGTAAATGAAAAAATCCCGCTTCCAACGAAGTCCTCAAAGGGGTCCAAGTAATCACTTGCAGACTTTACAGACGGAGTCTTTCCAAACTGCTCTATGAAAAGAAAGGTGGAACTCTGTGAGCTGAACGCACACATAACAAAGCAGTTTCTGAGAATGATTCTGTGTAGTTTTTACACGAAGATATTTCCATTTCAAAGATTAGCCTCAAATCGCTTGAAATCTCCACTTGCAAATTCCACAGAAAGAGTTTTTCAAAACTGCTCTGTGTAAAGGAAGGTTCAACTCTGTGACTTGAATACACACAACACAAAGAAGTGACTGAGAATTCTTCTGTCTAGCATTATATGAAGAAATCCCGTTTCCAACGAAGGCCTCAAAGAAGTCCAAATAAGCACCTGCAGACTTTACAAACAGAGTGTTTCCAAACTGCTCTATGAAAAGAAAGGTTAAACTCTGTGAGTTGAACGCACACATCACAAAGTAGTTGTTGAGAATGATTCTGTGTAGTTTTTATACGAAGATATTTAATTTTCTGCCATAGGCCTAGAAGTGCTTGCAATCTGCACTTGCAAATTCCAAAAACAGAGTGTTTCAAATCTGCTCTCTCCAAAGGAAGGTTCAAATCTGTGAGTTGAATACAAACAACACAAAGAAGTTACTGAGAATTCTTCTGTCTAGCATTATAAGAGGAAATCCCGTTTCCAACGAAGGGCTCATAGAGGGACAATTATCCAGCTGCAGACTTACAAAGAGTGTATTTCCAAACTGCTCGATTAAAGAAAGGTTAAACTCTGTGAGTTGAACACACACATCACAAAGTGTTTTCTGAGAATGATTCTGTGTAGTTTTTATACGAAGATATTTCCTTTTCTGCCATAGGCCTAGAAGCGCTTGAAATCTACACTTGCAAATTCCAAAAACAGAGTGTTTCAAATCTGCTCTCTCTAAAGGAAGGTTCAAATACTGTGTGTTGAATACAAACAACACAAAGAAGTTACTGAGAATTCTTCTGTCTAGCGTTATATGAAGAAATCCCGTTTCCAACGAAGGCCTCAAAGAGGTCCAAATATCCACTTGCAGACTTTACAAATAGAGTGTTTCCAAACTGCTCTATGAAAAGAAAGGTTAAACTCCGTGAGTTGAAGGCACACATCACAAACTAGTTTCTGCGAATGACTCTGTGTACTTTTAATACGAAGATGTTTCCATGTCTAAGATTGGCGTGAATTCGCTTGAAATCTCCACTTGCAAATTCCACAAAAAGAGTGTTTCAAAACTGCTCTGAATAAAGGAAGGTTCCACTCTGTGAGTTGAGTACACACAACACAAAGGATTTACTGAGAATTCTTCTGTCTGGCAGTAAATGAAAAAATCCCGCTTCCAACGAAGTCCTCAAAGGGGTCCAAGTAATCACTTGCAGACTTTACAGACAGAGTCTTTCCAAACTGCTCTATGAAAAGAAAGGTGGAACTCTGTGAGCTGAACGCACACATAACAAAGGAGTTTCTGAGAATGATTCTGTGTAGTTTTTACACGAAGATATTTCCATTTCAAAGATTAGCCTCAAATCGCTTGAAATCTCCACTTGCAAATTCCACAGAAAGAGTTTTTCAAAACTGCTCTGTGTAAAGGAAGGTTCAACTCTGTGACTTGAATACACACAACACAAAGAAGTGACTGAGAATTCTTCTGTCTAGCATTATATGAAGAAATCCCGTTTCCAACGAAGGCCTCAAAGAAGTCCAAATAAGCACCTGCAGACTTTACAAACAGAGTGTTTCCAAACTGCTCTATGAAAAGAAAGGTTAAACTCTGTGAGTTGAACGCACACATCACAAAGTAGTTGTTGAGAATGATTCTGTGTAGTTTTTATACGAAGATATTTCCTTTTCTGCCATAGGCCTAGAAGCGCTTGCAATCTGCACTTGCAAATTCCAAAAACAGAGTGTTTCAAATCTGCTCTCTCCAAAGGAAGGTTCAAATCTGTGAGTTGAATACAAACAACACAAAGAAGTTACTGAGAATTCTTCTGTCTAGCATTATATGAGGAAATCCCGTTTCCAACGAAGGGCTCATAGAGGGACAATTATCCAGCTGCAGACTTACAAAGAGTGTATTTCCAAACTGCTCGATTAAAGAAAGGTTAAACTCTGTGAGTTGAACACACACATCACAAAGTGTTTTCTGAGAATGATTTTGTCTAGTTTTAATACGAAGATATATCCTTTTCTATCACTGTCTTCGAAGCGTTTGAAATCTGCACTAGCAAATTCCACAAACAGAGTGTTTCAACTCTGCTCTCTCTCAAGAAAGTTTCAACTCTGTGAGTGGAATACACACAACACAAAGAAGTTACTGAGAATTCTTCTGTCTAGCGTTATATGAAGAAATCCCGTTTCCAACGAAGGCCTCAAAGAGGTCCAAATATCCACTTGCAGACTTTACAAATAGAGTGTTTCTGAACTGCTCTATGAAAAGAAAGGTTAAACTCTGTGAGTTGAAGGCACACATCACAAACTAGTTTCTACGAATGACTCTGTGTACTTTTAATATGAAGATATTTCCATGTCTAAGATTGGCGTCAAATCGCTTGAAATCTCCACTTGCAAATTCCACAAAAAGAGTCTTTCAAAACTGCTCTGAATAAAGGAAGGTTCCACTCTGTTAGTTGAATACACACAACACAAAGGATTTACTGAGAATTCTTCTGTCTAGCAGTAAATGAGAAATCCCGCTTCCAACGAAGGCCTCAAAGGGGTCTAACTAATCACTTGCAGACTTTACAGACAGAGTCTTTCCAAACTGCTCTATGAAGAGAAAGGTGAAACTCTGTGAACTGAACGCACAGATGACAAAGCAGTTTCTGAGAATGATTCTGTGTAGTTTTTACACGAAGATATTTCCATTTCAAAGATTAGCCTCAAATCGCTTGAAATCTCCACTTGCAAATTACACAGAAAGAATTTTTCAAAACTGCTCTGTCTAAAGGAAGGTTCAACTCTGTGACTTGAATACACACAACACAAAGAAGTGACTGAGAATTCTTCTGTCTAGCATTATATGAGGAAATCCCGTTTCCAACGAAGGGCTCATAGAGGGACAATTATCCACCTGCAGACTTACAAAGAGTGCATTTCCAAACTGCTCGATTAAAGAAAGGTTAAACTCTGTGAGTTGAACACACACATCACAAAGTGTTTTCTGAGAATGATTTTGTCTAGTTTTAATACGAAGATATATCCTTTTCTATCACTGTCTTCGAAGCGTTTGAAATCTGCACTAGCAAATTCCACAGAAAGAGTGTTTCAACTCTGCTCTCTCTCAACAAAGGTTCAACTCTGTGAGTGGAATACACACAACACAAAGAAGTTACAGAGAATTCTTCTGTCTAGCGTTATATGAAGAAATCCCGTTTCCAACGAAGGCCTCAAAGAGGTCCAAATATCCACTTGCAGACTTTACAAATAGAGTGTTTCCAAACTGCTCTATGAAAAGAAAGCTTAAACTCTGTGAGTTGAAGGCACACATCACAAACTAGTTTCTGCGAATGACTCTGTGTACTTTAAATACGAAGATATTTCCATGTCTAAGATTGGCGTGAAATCCCTTGAAATCTCCACTTGCAAATTCCACGAAAAGAGTGTTTCAAAACTGCTCTGAATAAAGGAAGGTTCAACTCTGTGAGTTGAATACACACAACACAAAGGATTTACTGAGAATTCTTCTGTTTAGCAGTAAATGAAAAAATCCCGCTTCCAACGAAGTTCTCAAAGGGGTCCAAGTAATCACTTGTAGACTTTACAGGCAGAGTCTTTCCAAACTGCTCTATGAAAAGAAAGGTGGAACTCGGTGAGCTGAATGCACAAATAACAAAGCAGTTTCTGAGAATGATTCTGTGTAGTTTTTACACGAAGCTATTTCCATTTCAAAGTATTAGCCTCAAATCGCTTGAAATCTCCACTTGCAAATTCCACAGAAAGAGTTTTTCAAAACTGCTCTGTGTAAAGGAAAGTTCAACTCTGTGACTTGAATACACACAACACAAAGAAGTGACTGAGAATTCTTCTGTCTAGCATTATAAGAGGAAATCCCGTTTCCAACGAAGGGCTCCTAGAGGGACAATTATCCAGCTGCAGACTTACAAAGAGTGTATTTCCAAACTGCTCGATTAAAGAAAGGTTAAACTCTGTGAGTTGAACACACACATCACAAAGTGTTTTCTGAGAATGATTTTGTCTAGTTTTAATACGAAGATATATCCTTTTCTATCACTGTCTTCGAAGCGTTTGAAATCTGCACTAGCAAATTCCACAAACAGAGTGTTTCAACTCTGCTCTCTCTCAAGAAAGGTTCAAATCTGTGAGTGGAATATACACAACACAAAGAAGTTACTGAGAATTCTTCTGTCTAGCGTTATATGAAGAAATCCCGTTTCCAACGAAGGCCTCAAAGAGGTCCAAATATCCACTTGCAGACTTTACAAAGAGAGTGTTTCCAAACTGCTCTATGAAAAGAAAGGTTAAACTCCGTGAGTTGAAGGCACACATCACAAACTAGTTTCTGCGAATGACTCTGTGTACTTTTAATACGAAGATGTTTCCATGTCTAAGATTGGCGTGAATTCGCTTGAAATCTCCACTTGCAATTTCCACAAAAAGAGTGTTTCAAAAGTGCTCTGAATAAAGGAAGGTTCCACTCTGTGAGTTGAATACACACAACACAAAGGATTTACTGAGAATTCTTCTGTCTAGCAGTAAATGAAAAAATCCCGCTTCCAACGAAGTCCTCAAAGGGGTCCAAGTAATCACTTGCAGACTTTACAGACAGAGTCTTTCCAAACTGCTCTATGAAAAGAAAGGTGGAACTCTGTGAGCTGAACGCACACATAACAAAGCAGTTTCTGACAATGATTCTGTGTAGTTTTTACACGAAGCTATTTCCATTTCAAAGATTAGCCTCAAATCGCTTGAAATCTCCACTTGCAAATTCCACAGAAAGAGTTTTTCAAAACTGCTCTGTGTAAAGGAAGGTTCAACTCTGTGACTTGAATACACACAACACAAAGAAGTGACTGAGAATTCTTCTGTCTAGCATTACATGAAGAAATCCCGTTTACAACGAAGGCCTCAAAGAAGTCCAAATAAGCACCTGCAGACTTTACAAACAGAGTGTTTCCAAACTGCTCTATGAAAAGAAAGGTTAAACTCTGTGAGTTGAACGCACACATCACAAAGTAGTTGTTGAGAATGATTCTGTGTAGTTTTTATACGAAGATATTTCCTTTTCTGCCATAGGCCTAGAAGCGCTTGTAATCTGCACTTGCAAATTCCAAAAACAGAGTGTTTCAAATCTGCTCTCTCTAAAGGAAGGTTCAAATCTGTGAGTTGAATACAAACAATACAAAGAAGTTACTGTGAATTCTTCTGTCTAGCATTATAAGAGGAAATCCCGTTTCCAACGAAGGGCTCATAGAGGGACAATTATCCAGCTGCAGACTTACAAAGAGTGTATTTCCAAACTGCTCGATTAAAGAAAGGTTAAACTCTGTGAGTTGAACACACACATCACAAAGTGTTTTCTGAGAATGATTTTGTCTAGTTTTAATACGAAGATATATCCTTTTCTATCACTGTCTTCGAAGCGTTTGAAATCTGCACTAGCAAATTCCACAAACAGAGTGTTTCAACTCTGCTCTCTCTCAAGAAAGGTTCAACTCTGTGAGTTGAATACACACAACACAAAGAAGTTACTGAGAATTCTTCTGTCTAGCGTTATATGAAGAAATCCCGTTTCCAACGAAGGCCTCAAAGAGGTCCAAATATCCACTTGCAGACTTTACAAATAGAGTGTTTCCAAACTGCTCTATGAAAAGAAAGGTTAAACTCCGTGAGTTGAAGGCACACATCACAAACTAGTTTCTGCGAATGACTCTGTGTACTTTTAATACGAAGATGTTTCCATGTCTAAGATTGGCGTGAATTCGCTTGAAATCTCCACTTGCAAATTCCACAAAAAGAGTGTTTCAAAAGTGCTCTGAATAAAGGAAGGTTCCACTCTGTGAGTTGAATACACACAACACAAAGGATTTACTGAGAATTCTTCTGTCTAGCAGTAAATGAAAAAATCCCGCTTCCAACGAAGTCCTCAAAGGGGTCCAAGTAATCACTTGCAGACTTTACAGACAGAGTCTTTCCAAACTGCTCTATGAAAAGAAAGGTGGAACTCTGTGAGCTGAACGCACACATAACAAAGCAGTTTCTGAGAATGATTCTGTGTAGTTTTTACACGAAGATATTTCCATTTCAAAGATTAGCCTCAAATCGCTTGACATCTCCACTTGCAAATTCCACAGAAAGAGTTTTTCAAAACTGCTCTGTGTAATGGAAGGTTCAACTCTGTGACTTCAATACACACAACACAAAGAAGTGACTGAGAATTCTTCTGTCTAGCATTATATGAAGAAATCCCGTTTCCAACGAAGGCCTCAAAGAAGTCCAAATAAGCACCTGCAGACTTTACAAACAGAGTGTTTCCAAACTGCTCTATGAAAAGAAAGGTTAAACTCTGTGAGTTGAACGCACACATCACAAAGTAGTTGTTGAGAATGATTCTGTGTAGTTTTTATACGAAGATATTTCCTTTTCTGCCATAGGCCTAGAAGCGCTTTTAATCTGCACTTGCAAATTCCAAAAACAGAGTGTTTCAAATCTGCTCTCTCTAAAGGAAGGTTCAAATCTGTGAGTTGAATACAAACAACACAAAGAAGTTACTGAGAATTCTTCTGTCTAGCATTATAAGAGGAAATCCCGTTTCCAACGAAGGGCTCATAGAGGGACAATTATCCAGCTGCAGACTTACAAAGAGTGTATTTCCAAACTGCTCGATTAAAGAAAGGTTAAACTCTGTGAGTTGAACACACACATCACAAAGTGTTTTCTGAGAATGATTTTGTCTAGTTTTAATACGAAGATATATCCTTTTCTATCACTGTCTTCGAAGCGTTTGAAATCTGCACTAGCAAATTCCACAAACAGAGTGTTTCCACTCTGCTCTCTCTCAAGAAAGGTTCAACTCTGTGAGTGGAATACACACAACACAAAGAAGTTACTGAGAATTCTTCTGTCTAGCGTTATATGAAGAAATCCCGTTTCCAACGAAGGCCTCAAAGAGGTCCAAATATCCACTTGCAGACTTTACAAATAGAGTGTTTCCAAACTGCTCTATGAAAAGAAAGGTTAAACTCCGTGAGTTGAAGGCACACATCACAAACTAGTTTCTGCGAATGACTCTGTGTACTTTTAATACGAAGATGTTTCCATGTCTAAGATTGGCGTGAATTCGCTTGAAATCTCCACTTGCAAATTCCACAAAAAGAGTGTTTCAAAACTGCTCTGAATAAAGGAAGGTTCCACTCTGTGAGTTGAATACACACAATACAAAGGATTTACTGAGAATTCTTCTGTCTAGCAGTAAATGAAAAAATCCCGCTTCCAACGAAGTCCTCAAAGGGGTCCAAGTATTCACTTGCAGACTTTACAGACAGAGTCTTTCCAAACTGCTCTATGAAAAGAAAGGTGGAACTCTGTGAGCTGAACGCACACATAACAAAGCAGTTTCTGAGAATGATTCTGTGTAGTTTTTACACGAAGCTATTTCCATTTCAAAGATTAGCCTCAAATCGCTTGAAATCTCCACTTGCAAATTCCACAGAAAGAGTTTTTCAAAACTGCTCTGTGTAAAGGAAGGTTCAACTCTGTGACTTGAATACACACAACACAAAGAAGTGACTGAGAATTCTTCTGTCTAGCATTATATGAAGAAATCCCGTTTCCAACGAAGGCCTCAAAGAAGTCCAAATAAGCACCTGCAGACTTTACAAACAGAGTGTTTCCAAACTGCTCTATGAAAAGAAAGGTTAAACTCTGTGAGTTGAACGCACACATCACAAAGTAGTTTTTGAGAACGATTCTGTGTAGTTTTTATACGAAGATATTTCCTTTTCTGCCATAGGCCTAGAAGCGCTTGTAATCTGCACTTGCAAATTCCAAAAACAGAGTGTTTCAAATCTGCTCTCTCTAAAGGAAGGTTCAAATCTGTGAGTTGAATACAAACAACACAAAGAAGTTACTGAGAATTCTTCTGTCTAGCATTATATGAGGAAATCCCGTTTCCAACGAAGGGCTCATAGAGGGACAATTATCCAGCTGCAGACTTACAAAGAGTGTATTTCCAAACTGCTCGATTAAAGAAAGGTTAAACTCTGTGAGTTGAACACACACATCACAAAGTGTTTTCTGAGAATGATTCTGTGTAGTTTTTATACGAAGATATTTAATTTTCTGCCATAGGCCTAGAAGCGCTTGCAATCTGCACTTGCAAATTCCAAAAACAGAGTGTTTCAAATCTGCTCTCTCCAAAGGAAGGTTCAAATCTGTGAGTTGAATACAAACAACACAAAGAAGTTACTGAGAATTCTTCTGTCTAGCATTATAAGAGGAAATCCCGTTTCCAACGAAGGGCTCATAGAGGGACAATTATCCAGCTGCAGACTTACAAAGAGTGTATTTCCAAACTGCTCGATTAAAGAAAGGTTAAACTCTGTGAGTTGAACACACACATCACAAAGTGTTTTCTGAGAATGATTTTGTCTAGTTTTAATACGAAGATATATCCTTTTCTATCACTGTCTTCGAAGCGTTTGAAATCTGCACTAGCAAATTCCACAGAAAGAGTGTTTCAACTCTGCTCTCTCTCAAGAAAGGTTCAACTCTGTGAGTTGAAAACACACAACACAAAGAAGTTACTGAGAATTCTTCTGTCTAGCGTTATATGAAGAAATCCCGTTTCCAACGAAGGCCTCAAAGAGGTCCAAATATCCACTTGCAGACTTTACAAATAGAGTGTTTCCAAACTGCTCTATGAAAAGAAAGGTTAAACTCCGTGAGTTGAAGGCACACATCACAAACTAGTTTCTGCGAATGACTCTGTGTACTTTTAATACGAAGATGTTTCCATGTCTAAGATTGGCGTGAATTCGCTTGAAATCTCCACTTGCAAATTCCACAAAAAGAGTTTTTCAAAAGTGCTCTGAATAAAGGAAGGTTCCACTCTGTGAGTTGAATACACACAACACAAAGGATTTACTGAGAATTCTTCTGTCTAGCAGTAAATGAAAAAATCCCGCTTCCAACGAAGTCCTCAAAGGTGTCCAAGTAATCACTTGCAGACTTTACAGACAGAGTCTTTCCAAACTGCTCTACGAAAAGAAAGGTGGAACGCTGTGAGCTGAACGCACACATAACAAAGCAGTTTCTGAGAATGATTCTGTGTAGTTTTTACACGAAGATATTTCCATTTCAAAGATTAGCCTCAAATCGCTTGAAATCTCCACTTGCAAATTCCACAGAAAGAGTTTTTCAAAACTGCTCTGTGTAAAGGAAGGTTCAACTCTGTGACTTGAATACACACAACACAAAGAAGTGACTGAGAATTCTTCTGTCTAGCATTATATGAAGAAATCCCGTTTCCAACGAAGGCCTCAAAGAAGTCCAAATAAGCACCTGCAGACTTTACAAACAGAGTGTTTCCAAACTGCTCTATGAAAAGAAAGGTTAAACTCTGTGAGCTGAACTGCACACATCACAAAGTAGTTGTTGAGAATGATTCTGTGTAGTTTTTATACGAAGCATATTTCCTTTTCTGCCATAGGCCTAGAATCGCTTGAAATCTGCACTTGCAAATTCCAAAAACAGAGTGTTTCAACTCTGCTCTCTCTAAAGAAAGGTTCAACTCTGTGAGTTGAATACACACAACACAAAGAAGTTACTGAGAATTCTTCTGTCTAGCGTTGTATGAAGAAATCCCTTTTCGAACGAAGGCCTCAAAGAGGTCCAAATATCCACTTGCAGACTTTACAAATAGAGTGTTTCCAAACTGCTCTATGAAAAGAAAGGTCAAACTCTGTGCGTTGAAGGCACACATCACAAACTAGTTTCTACGAATGACTCTGTGTACTTTTAATATGAAGATATTTCCATGTCTAAGATTGGCGTCAAATCGCTTGAAATCTCCACTTGCAAATTCCACAAAAAGTGTTTTTCAAAACTGCTCTGAATAAAGGAAGGTTCCACTCTGTGAGTTGAATACACACAACACAAAGGATTTACTGAGAATTCTTCTGTCTAGCAGTAAATGAGAAATCCCGCTTCCAACGAAGGCCTCAATGGGGTCTAACTAATCACTTGCAGACTTTACAGAGTCTTTCCAAACTGCTCTATGAAGAGAAAGGTGAAACTCTGTGAACTGAACGCACAGATAACAAAGCAGTTTCTGAGAATGATTCTGTGTAGTTTTTACACGAAGATATTTCCATTTCAAAGATTAGCCTCAAATCTCTTAAAATCTCCAATTGCAAATTCCACAGAAAGAATTTTTCAAAACTGCTCTGTCTAAAAGAAGGTTCAACTCTGTGACTTGAATACACACAACACAAAGAAGTGACTGAGAATTCTTCTGTCTAGCATTATATGAAGAAATCCCGTTTCCAACGAAGGCCTCAAAGAAGTCCAAATAAGCACCTGCAGACTTTACAAACAGAGTGTTTCCAAACTGCTCTATGAAAAGAAAGGTTATACTCTGTGAGCTGAACGCACACATCACAAAGTAGTTGTTGAGAATGATTCTGTGTAGTTTTTATACGAAGATATTTCCTTTTCTGCCATAGGCCTAGAAGCGCTTGCAATCTGCACTTGCAAATTCCACAAACAGAGTGTTTCAACTCTGCTCTCTCTCAAGAAAGGTTCAACTCTGTGAGTGGAATACACACAACACAAAGAAGTTTCTGAGAATTCTTCTGTCTAGCGTTATATGAAGAAATCCCGTTTCCAACGAAGGCCTCAAAGAGGTCCAAATATCCACTTGCAGACTTTACAAATAGAGTGTTTCCAAACTGCTCTATGAAAAGAAAGGTTAAACTCTGTGAGTTGAAGGCACACATCACAAACTAGTTTCTGCGAATGACTCTGTGTACTTTTAATACGAAGATGTTTCCATGTCTAAGATTGGCGTGAATTCGCTTGAAATCTCCACTTGCAAATTCCACAAAAAGAGTGTTTCAAAACTGCTCTGAATAAAGGAAGGTTCCACTCTGTGAGTTGAATACACACAACACAAAGGATTTACTGAGAATTCTTCTGTCTAGCAGTAAATGAAAAAATCCCGCTTCCAACGAAGTCCTCAAAGGGGTCCAAGTAATCACTTGCAGACTTTACAGACAGAGTCTTTCCAAACTGCTCTATGAAAAGAAAGGTGGAACTCTGCGAGCTGAACGCACACATAACAAAGCAGTTGCTGAGAATGATTCTGTGTAGTTTTTACACGAAGATATTTCCATTTCAAAGATTAGCCTCAAATCGCTTGAAATCTCCACTTGCAAATTCCACAGAAAGAGTTTTTCAAAACTGCTCTGTGTAAAGGAAGGTTCAACTCTGTGACTTGAATACACACAACACAAAGAAGTGACTGAGAATTCTTCTGTCTAGCATTATATGAAGAAATCCCGTTTCCAACGAAGGCCTCAAAGAAGTCCAAATAAGCACCTGCAGACTTTACAAACAGAGTGTTTCCAAACTGCTCTATGAAAAGAAAGGTTAAACTCTGTGAGTTGAATGCACACATCACAAAGTAGTTGTTGAGAATGATTCTGTGTAGTTTTTACACGAAGATATTTCCTTTTCTGCCATAGGCCTAGAAGCGCTTGTAATCTGCACTTACAATTTCCAAAAGCAGAGTGTTTCAAATCTGCTCTCTCTAAAGGAAAGTTCAAATCTGTGAGTTGAATACAAACAACACAAAGAAGTTACTGAGAATTCTTCTGTCTAGCATTATATGAGGAAATCCCGTTTCCAACGAAGGGCTCATAGAGGGACAATTATCCACCTGCAGACTTACAAAGAGTGTATTTCCAAACTGCTCGATTACAGAAAGGTTAAACTCTGTGAGTTGAACACACACATCACAAAGTGTTTTCTGAGAATGATTCTGTGTAGTTTTTATACGAAGATATTTCCTTTTCTGCCATAGGCCTAGAAGCGCTTGTAATCTACACTTGCAAATTCCGAAAACAGAGTGTTTCAAATCTGCTCTCTCTAAAGGAAGGTTCAAATCTGTGAGTTGAATACAAACAACACAAAGAATTTACTGAGAATTCTTCTGTCTAGCATTATAAGAGGAAATCCCGTTTCCAACGAAGGGCTCATAGAGGGACAATTATCCAGCTGCAGACTTACAAAGAGTGTATTTCCAAACTGCTCGATTGAAGAAAGGTTAAACTCTGTGAGTTGAACACACACATCACAAAGTGTTTTCTGAGAATGATTTTGTCTAGTTTTAATACGAAGATATATCCTTTTCTATCACTGTCTTCGAAGCGTTTGAAATCTGCACTAGCAAATTCCACAAACAGAGTGTTTCAACTCTGCTCTCTCTCAAGAAAGGTTCAACTCTGTGAGTTGAATACACACAACACAAAGAAGTTACTGAGAATTCTTCTGTCTAGCGTTATATGAAGAAATCCCGTTTCCAACGAAGGCCTCAAAGAGGTCCAAATATCCACTTGCAGACTTTACAAATAGAGTGTTTCCAAACTGCTCTATGAAAAGAAAGGTTAAACTCCGTGAGTTGAAGGCACACATCACAAACTAGTTTCTGCGAATGACTCTGTGTACTTTTAATACGAAGATGTTTCCATGTCTAAGATTGGCGTGAATTCGCTTGAAATCTCCACTTGCAAATTCCACAAAAAGAGTGTTTCAAAACTGCTCTGAATAAAGGAAGGTTCCACTCTGTGAGTTGAATACACACAACACAAAGGATTTACTGAGAATTCTTCTGTCTAGCAGTAAATGAAAAAATCCCGCTTCCAACGAAGTCCTCAAAGGGGTCCAAGTAATCACTTGCAGACTTTACAGACAGAGTCTTTCCAAACTGCTCTATGAAAAGAAAGGTGGAACTCTGTGAGCTGAACGCACACATAACAAAGCAGTTTCTGAGAATGATTCTGTGTTGTTTTTACACGAAGCTATTTCCATTTCAAAGATTAGCCTCAAATCGCTTGAAATCTCCACTTGCAAATTCCACAGAAAGAGTTTTTCAAAACTGCTCTGTGTAAAGGAAGGTTCAACTCTGTGACTTGAATACACACAACACAAAGAAGTGACTGAGAATTCTTCTGTCTAGCATTATATGAAGAAATCCCGTTTCCAACGAAGGCCTCAAAGAAGTCCAAATAAGCACCTGCAGACTTTACAAACAGAGTGTTTCCAAACTGCTCTATGAAAAGAAAGGTTAAACTCTGTGAGTTGAACGCACACATCACAAAGTAGTTGTTGAGAATGATTCTGTGTAGTTTTTATACGAAGATATTTCCTTTTCTGCCATAGGCCTAGAAGCGATTGTAATCTGCACTTGCAAATTCCAATAACAGAGTGTTTCAAATCTGCTCTCTCTAAAGGAAGGTTCAAATCTGTGAGTTGAATACAAACAACACAAAGAAGTTACTGAGAATTCTTCTGTCTAGCATTATAAGAGGAAATCCCGTTTCCAACGAAGGGCTCATAGAGGGACAATTATCCAGCTGCAGACTTACAAAGAGTGTATTTCCAAACTGCTCGATTAAAGAAAGGTTAAACTCTGTGAGTTGAACACACACATCACAAAGTGTTTTCTGAGAATGATTTTGTCTAGTTTTAATACGAAGATATATCCTTTTCTATCACTGTCTTCAAAGCGTTTGAAATCTGCACTAGCAAATTCCACAAACAGAGTGTTTCAACTCTGCTCTCTCTCAAGAAAGGTTCAACTCTGTGAGTGGAATACACACAACACAAAGAAGTTACTGAGAATTCTTCTGTCTAGCGTTATATGAAGAAATCCCGTTTCCAACGAAGGCCTCAAAGAGGTCCAAATATCCACTTGCAGACTTTACAAATAGAGTGTTTCCAAACTGCTCTATGAAAAGAAAGGTTAAACTCCGTGAGTTGAAGGCACACATCACAAACTAGTTTCTGCGAATGACTCTGTGTACTTTTAATACGAAGATGTTTCCATGTCTAAGATTGGCGTGAATTCGCTTGAAATCTCCACTTGCAAATTCCACAAAAAGAGTGTTTCAAAACTGCTCTGAATAAAGGAAGGTTCCACTCTGTGAGTTGAATACACACAACACAAAGGATTTACTGAGAATTCTTCTGTCTAGCAGTAAATGAAAAAATCCCGCTTCCAACGAAGTCCTCAAAGGGGTCCAAGTAATCACTTGCAGACTTTACAGACAGAGTCTTTCCAAACTGCTCTATGAAAAGAAAGGTGGAACTCTGTGAGCTGAACGCACACATAACAAAGCAGTTTCTGAGAATGATTCTGTGTACTTTTAATATGAAGATATTTCCATGTCTAAGATTGCCGTCAAATCGGTTGAAATCTCCATTTGCAAATTCCACAAAAAGTGTTTTTCAAAACTGCTCTGAATAAAGGAAGGTTCCACTCTGTGAGTTGAATACACACAACACAAAGGTTTTACTGAGAATTCTTCTGTCTAGCATTATATGAAGAAATCCCGTTTCCAACGAAGGCCTCAAAGAAGTCCAAATAAGCACCTGCAGACTTTACAAACAGAGTGTTTCCAAACTGCTCTATGAAAAGAAAGGTTAAACTCTGTGAGTTGAACGCACACATCACAAAGTAGTTGTTGAGAATGATTTTGTCTAGTTTTAATACGAAGATATATCCTTTTCTATCACTGTCTTCGAAGTGTTTGAAATCTGCACTAGCAAATTCCACAAACAGAGTGTTTCAACTCTGCTCTCTCTCAAGAAAGGTTCAACTCTGTGAGTGGAATACACACAACACAAAGAAGTTACTGAGAATTCTTCTGTCTAGCGTTATATGAAGAAATCCCGTTTCCAACGAAGGCCTCAAAGAGGTCCAAATATCCACTTGCAGACTTTACAAATAGAGTGTTTCCAAACTGCTCTATGAAAAGAAAGGTTAAACTCCGTGAGTTGAAGGCACACATCACAAACTAGTTTCTGCGAATGACTCTGTGTACTTTTAATACGAAGATGTTTCCATGTCTAAGATTGGCGTGAATTCGCTTGAAATCTCCACTTGCAAATTCCACAAAAAGAGTGTTTCAAAACTGCTCTGAATAAAGGAAGGTTCCACTCTGTGAGTTGAATACACACAACACAAAGGATTTACTGAGAATTCTTCTGTCTAGCAGTAAATGAAAAAATCCCGCTTCCAACGAAGTCCTCAAAGGGGTCCAAGTAATCACTTGCAGACTTTACAGACAGAGTCTTTCCAAACTGCTCTATGAAAAGAAAGGTGGAACTCTGTGAGCTGAACGCACACATAACAAAGCAGTTTCTGAGAATGATTCTGTGTAGTTTTTACACGAAGATATTTCCATTTCAAAGATTAGCCTCAAATCGCTTGAAATCTCCACTTGCAAATTCCACAGGAAGAGTTTTTCAAAACTGCTCTGTGTAAAGGAAGGTTCAACTCTGTGACTTGAATACACACAACACAAAGAAGTGACTGAGAATTCTTCTGTCTAGCATTATATGAAGAAATCCCGTTTCCAACGAAGGCCTCAAAGAAGTCCAAATAAGCACCTGCAGACTTTACAAACAGAGTGTTTCCAAACTGCTCTATGAAAAGAAAGGTTAAACTCTGTGAGTTGAACGCACACATCACAAAGTAGTTGGTGAGAATGATTCTGTGTAGTTTTTATACGAAGATATTTCCTTTTCTGCCATAGGCCTAGAAGCGCTTCAAATCTGCCCTTGCAAATTCCAAAAACAGAGTGTTTCAACTCTGCTCTCTCTAAAGAAAGTTTCAACTCTGTGAGTTGAATACACACAACACAAAGAAGTTACTGAGAATACTTCTGTCTAGCGTTGTATGAAGAAATCCCGTTTCCAACGAAGGCCTCAATGAAGTCCAAAAAAGCACTTGCAGGCTTTACAAACAGAGTGTTTCCAAACTGCTCTATGAAAAGAGAGGTTAAACTCTGTGAGTTGAAGGCACACATCACAAACTAGTTTCTACGCATGACTCTGTGTACTTTTAATATGAAGATATTTCCATGTCTAAGATTGGCGTCAAATCGCTTGAAATCTCCATTTGCAAATTCCACAAAAAGTGTTTTTCAAAACTGCTCTGAATAAAGGAAGGTTCCACTCTGTGAGTTGAATACACACAACACAAAGGATTTACTGAGAATTCTTCTGTCTAGCAGTAAATGAGAAATCCCGCTTCCAACGAAGGCCTCAAAGGGGTCTAACTAATCACTTGCAGACTTTACAGACAGAGTCTTTCCAAACTGCTCTATGAAGAGAAAGGTGAAACTCTGTGAACTGAACGCACAGATGACAAAGCAGTTTCTGAGAATGATTCTGTGTAGTTTTTACACGAAGATATTTCCATTTCAAAGATTAGCCTCAAATCGCTTGAAATCTCCACTTGCAAACTCCACAGAAAGAATTTTTCAAAACTGCTCTGTCTAAAGGAAGGTTCAACTCTGTGACTTGAATACACACAACACAAAGAAGTGACTGAGAATTCTTCTGTCTAGCATTATATGAAGAAATCCCGTTTCCAACGAAGGCCTCAATGAAGTCCAAAAAAGCACTTGCAGGCTTTACAAACAGAGTGTTTCCAAACTGCTCTCTGAAAAGAAAGGTTAAACTCTGTGAGTTGAACGCGCACATCACAAAGTAGTTGTTGAGAATGATTCTGTGTAGTTTTTATACGAAGATATTTCCTTTTCTGCCATAGGCCTAGAATCGCTTGAAATCTGCACTTGCAAATTCCAAAAACAGAGTGTTTCAAATCTGCTCTCTCTAAAGGAAGGTTCAAATCTGTGTGTTGAATACAAACAACACAAAGAAGTTACTGAGAATTCTTCTGTCTAGCATTATATGAGGAAATCCCGTTTCCAACGAAGGGCTCAAAGAGGGCCAAATATCCACCTGCAGACTTACAAAGAGTGTATTTCCAAACTGCTCGATTAAAGAAAGGTTAAACTCTGTGAGTTGAACACACACATCACAAAGAGTTTTCTGAGAATGATTTTGTCTACTTTTAATACGAAGATATATCCTTTTCTATCACTGTCTTCGAAGCGTTTGAAATCTACACTAGCAAATTCCACAAAAAGAGTGTTTCACCTCTGCTCCCTCTAAAGAAAGGTTCAACTCTGTGAGTTGAATACACACAACACAAAGAAGTTACTGAGAATTCTTCTGTCTAGCGTTATATGAAGAAATCCCGTTTCCAACGAAGGCCTCAAAGAGGTCCAAATATCCACTTGCAGACTTTACAAATAGAGTGTTTCCCAACTGCTCTATGAAAAGAAAGGTTAAACTCTGTGAGTTGAAGGCACACATCACAAACTAGTTTCTACGAATGACTCTGTGTACTTTTAATATGAAGATATTTCCATGTCTAAGATTGGCGTCAAATCGCTTGAAATCTCCACTTGCAAATTCCACAAAAAGAGTGTTTCAAAACTGCTCTGAATAAAGGAAGGTTCCACTCTGTGAGTTGAATACACACAACACAAAGGATTTACTGAGAATTCTTCTGTCTAGCAGTAAATGAGAAATCCCGCTTCCAACGAAGGCCTCAAAGGGGTCTAACTAATCACTTGCAGACTTTACAGACAGAGTCTTTCCAAACTGCTCTATGAAGAGAAAGGTGAAACTCTGTGATCTGAACGCACAGATGACAAAGCATTTTCTGAGAATGATTCTGTGTAGTTTTTACACGAAGATATTTCCATTTCAAAGATTAGCCTCAAATCGCTTGAAATCTCCACTTGCAAATTACACAGAAAGAATTTTTCAAAACTGCTCTGTCTAAAGGAAGGTTCAACTCTGTGACTTGAATACACACAACACAAAGAAGTGACTGAGAATTCTTCTGTCTAGCATTATATGAAGAAATCCCGTTTCCAACGAAGGCCTCAATGAAGTCCAAAAAGGCACTTGCAGGCTTTACAAACAGAGTGTTTCCAAACTGCTCTATGAAAAGAAAGGTTAAACTCCTGTGAGTTGAACGCACACATCACAAAGTAGTTGTTGAGAATGATTCTGTGTAGTTTTTATACGAAGATATTTCCTTTTCTGCCATAGGCCTAGAATCGCTTGAAATCTGCAGTTGCAAATTCCAAAAACAGAGTGTTTCAACTCTGCTCTCTCTAAAGAAAGGTTCAACTCTGTGAGTTGAATACACACAACACAAAGAAGTTACTGAGAATTCTTCTGTCTAGCGTTGTATGAAGAAATCCCGTTTCCAACGAAGGCCTCAAAGAGGTCCAAATATCCACTTGCAGACTTTACAAATAGAGTGTTTCCAAACTGCTCTATGAAAAGAAAGGTTAAACTCTGTGAGTTGAAGGCACACATCACAAACTAGTTTCTACGAATGACTCTGTGTACTTTAAATACGAAGATATTTCCATGTCTAAGATTGGCGTGAAATCCCTTGAAATCTCCACTTGCAAATTCCACGAAAAGAGTGTTTCAAAACTGCTCTGAATAAAGGAAGGTTCAACTCTGTGAGTTGAATACACACAACACAAAGGATTTACTGAGAATTCTTCTGTCTAGCAGTAAATGAAAAATTCCCGCTTCCAACGAAGTCCTCAAAGGGGTCCAAGTAATCACTTGCAGACTTTACAGACAGAGTCTTTCCAAACTGCTCTATGAAAAGAAAGGTGGAACTCTGTGAGCTGAACGCACACATAACAAAGCAGTTTCTGAGAATGATTCTGTGTAGTTTTTACACGAAGCTATTTCCATTTCAAAGATTAGCCTCAAATCGCTTGAAATCTCCACTTGCAAATTCCACAGAAAGAGTTTTTCAAAACTGCTCTGTGTAAAGGAAGGTTCAACTCTGTGACTTGAATACACACAACACAAAGAAGTGACTGAGAATTCTTCTGTCTAGCGTTGTATGAAGAAATCCCGTTTCCAACGAAGGCCTCAATGAAGTCCAAAAAAGCACTTGCAGGCTTTACAAACAGAGTGTTTCCAAACTGCTCTATGAAAAGAAAGGTTAAACTCTGTGAGTTGAACACACACATCACAAAGAGTTTTGCTGAGAATGATTTTGTCTACTTTTAATACGAAGATATATCCTTTTCTATCACTGTCTTCGAAGCGTTTGAAATCTACACTAGCAAATTCCACAAAAAGAGTGTTTCACCTCTGCTCCCTCTAAAGAAAGGTTCAACTCGGTGAGTTGAATACACACAACACAAAGAAGTTACTGAGAATTCTTCTGTCTAGCGTTATATGAAGAAATCCCGTTTCCAACGAAGGCCTCAAAGAGGTCCAAATATCCACTTGCAGACTTTACAAATAGAGTGTTTCCCAACTGCTCTATGAAAAGAAAGGTTAAACTCTGTGAGTTGAAGGCACACATCACAAACTAGTTTCTACGAATGACTCTGTGTACTTTTAATATGAAGATATTTCCATGTCTAAGATTGGCGTCAAATCGCTTGAAATCTCCACTTGCAAATTCCACAAAAAGAGTGTTTCAAAACTGCTCTGAATAAAGGAAGGTTCCACTCTGTGAGTTGAATACACACAACACAAAGGATTTACTGAGAATTCTTCTGTCTAGCATTATATGAAGAAATCCCGTTTCCAACGAAGGCCTCAATGAAGTCCAAATATCCACTTGCAGGCTTTGCAAACAGCGTGTTTCCAAACTGCTCTATGAAAAGAAAGGTTAAACTTTGTGAGTTGAACGCACACATCACAAAGTAGTTGTTGAGAATGATTCTGTGTAGTTTTTATACGAAGATATTTCCTTTTCTGCCATAGGCCTAGAATCGCTTGAAATCTGCACTTGCAAATTCCAAAAACAGAGTGTTTCAACTCTGCTCTCTCTAAAGAAAGGTTCAACTCTGTGAGTTGAATACACACAACACAAAGAAGTTACTGAGAATTCTTCTGTCTAGCGTTGTATGAAGAAATCCCGTTTCCAACGAAGGCCTCAAAGAGGTCCAAATATCCACTTGCAGACTTTACAAATAGAGTGTTTCCAAACTGCTCTATGAAAAGAAAGGTTAAACTCTGTGAGTTGAAGGCACACATCACAAACTAGTTTCTACGAATGACTCTGTGTACTTTTAATATGAAGATATTTCCATGTCTAAGATTGGCGTAAAATCAGCTTGAAATCTCCACTTGCAAATTCCACAAAAAGTGTTTTTCAAAACTGCTCTGAATAAAGGAAGGTTCCACTCTGTGAGTTGAATACACATAACACAAAGGATTTACTGAGAATTCTTCTGTCTAGCAGTAAATGAGAAATCCCGCTTCCAACGAAGGCCTCAAAGGGGTCTAACTAATCACTTGCAGACTTTACAGACAGAGTCTTTCCAAACTGCTCTATGAAGAGAAAGGTGAAACTCTGTGAACTGAACGCACAGATGACAAAGCAGTTTCTGAGAATGATTCTGTGTAGTTTTTACACGAAGATATTTCCATTTCAAAGATTAGCCTCAAATCGCTTGAAATCTCCACTTGCAAACTCCACAGAAAGAATTTTTCAAAACTGCTCTGTCTAAAGGAAGGTTCAACTCTGTGACTTGAATACACACAACACAAAGAAGTGACTGAGAATTCTTCTGTCTAGCATTATATGAAGAAATCCCGTTTCCAACGAAGGCCTCAATGAAGTCCAAAAAAGCACTTGCAGGCTTTACAAACAGAGTGTTTCCAAACTGCTCTATGAAAAGAAAGGTTAAACTCTGTGAGTTGAACGCACACATCACAAAGTAGCTGTTGAGAATGATTCTGTGTAGTTTTTATACGAAGATATTTCCTTTGCTGCCATAGGCCTAGAAGCGCTTGAAATTTGCACTTGCAAATTCCAAAAACAGAGTGTTTCAAATCTGCTCTCTCTAAAGGAAGGTTCAAATCCTGTGTGTTGAATACAAACAACACAAAGAAGTTACTGAGAATTCTTCTGTCTAGCGTTATATGAAGAAATCCCTTTTCCAACGAAGGCCTCAAAGAGTTCCAAATATCCACTTGCAGACTTTACAAATAGAATGTTTCCGAACTGCTCTATGAAAAGAAAGGTTAAACTCTGTGAGTTGAAGGCACACAACACAAACTAGTTTCTACGAATGATTCTGTGTACTTTTAATATGAAGATATTTCCATGTCTAAGATTGGCGTCAAATCGCTTGAAATCTCCACTTGCAAATTCCACAAAAAGAGTGTTTCAAAACTGCTCTGAATAAAGGAAGGTTCCACTCTGTGAGTTGAATAAACACAACACAAAGGATTTACTGAGAATTCTTCTGTCTAGCATTATATGAAGAAATCCCGTTTCCAACGAAGGCCTCAATGAAGTCCAAAAAAGCACTTGCAGGCTTTACAAACAGAGTGTTTCCAAACTTCTCTATGAAAAGAAAGGTTAAACTTTGTGAGTTGAACGCACACATCACAAAGTAGTTGTTGAGAATGATTCTGTGTAGTTTTTATACGAAGATATTTCCTTTTCTGCCATAGGCCTAGAATCGCTTGAAATCTGCACTTGCAAATTCCAAAAACACAGTTTTTCAACTCTGCTCTCTCTAAAGAAAGGTTCAACTCTGTGAGTTGAATACACACAACACAAAGAAGTTACTGAGAATTCTTCTGTCTAGCGTTGTATGAAGAAATCCCTTTTCGAACGAAGGCCTCAAAGAGGTCCAAATATCCACTTGCAGACTTTACAAATAGAGTGTTTCCAAACTACTCTATGAAAAGAAAGGTTAAACTCTGTGAGTTGAAGGCACACATCACAAACTAGTTTCTACGAATGACTCTGTGTACTTTTAATATGAAGATATTTCCATGTCTAAGATTGGCGTCAAATCGCTTGAAATCTCCACTTGCAAATTCCACAAAAAGTGTTTTTCAAAACTGCTCTGAATAAAGGAAGGTTCCACTCTGTGAGTTGAATACACACAACACAAAGGATTTACTGAGAATTCTTCTGTCTAGCAGTAAATGAGAAATCCCGCTTCCAACGAAGGCCTCAAAGGGGTCTAACTAATCACTTGCAGACTTTACAGACAGAGTCTTTCCAAACTGCTCTATGAAGAGAAAGGTGAAACTCTGTGAACTGAACGCACAGATGACAAAGCAGTTTCTGAGAATGATTCTGTGTAGTTTTTACACGAAGATATTTCCATTTCAAAGATTAGCCTCAAATCGCTTGAAATCTCCACTTGCAAATTCCACAGAAAGAATTTTTCAAAACTGCTCTGTCTACAGGAAGGTTCAACTCTGTGACTTGAATACACACAACACAAAGAAGTGACTGAGAATTCTTCTGTCTAGCATTATATGAAGAAATCCCGTTTCCAACGAAGGCCTCAATGAAGTCCAAAAAAGCACTTGCAGGCTTTACAAACAGAGTGTTTCCAAACTGCTCTATGAAAAGAAAGGTTAAACTCTGTGAGTTGAACGCACACATCACAAAGTAGTTGTTGAGAATGATTCTGTGTAGTTTTTATACGAAGATATTTCCTTTTCTGCCATAGGCCTAGAAGCGCTTGAAATCTGCACTTGCAAATTCCAAAAACAGAGTGTTTCAACTATGGTCTCTCTAAAGAAAGGTTCAACTCTGTGAGTTGAATACACACAACACAAAGAAGTTACTGAGAATTCTTCTGTCTAGCGTTGTATGAAGAAATCCCGTTTCCAACGAAGGCCTCAATGAAGTCCAAAAAAGCACTTGCAGGCTTTACAAACAGAGTGTTTCCAAACTGCTCTATGAAAAGAAAGGTTAAACTCTGTGAGTTGAACACACACATCACAAAGAGTTTTCTGAGAATGATTTTGTCTACTTTTAATACGAAGATATATCCTTTTCTATCACTGTCTTCGAAGCGTTTGAAATCTACACTAGCAAATTCCACAAAAAGAGTGTTTCACCTCTGCTCCCTCTAAAGAAAGGTTCAACTCTGTGAGTTGAATACACACAACACAAAGAAGTTACTGAGAATTCTTCTGTCTAGCGTTATATGAAGAAATCCCGTTTCCAAAGAAGGCCTCAAAGAGGTCCAAATATCCACTTGCAGACTTTACAAATAGAGTGTTTCCCAACTGCTCTATGAAAAGAAAGGTTAAACTCTGTGAGTTGAAGGCACACATCACAAACTAGTTTCTACGAATGACTCTGTGTACTTTTAATATGAAGATATTTCTCTGTCTAAGATTGGCGTCAAATCGCTTGAAATCTCCACTTGCAAATTCCACAAAAAGTGTTTTTCAAAACTGCTCTTTATAAAGGAAGGTTCCACTCTGTGAGTTGAATACACACAACACAAAGGATTTACTGAGAATTCTTCTGTCTAGCAGTAAATGAGAAATCCCGCTTCCAACGAAGGCCTCAAAGGGGTCTAACTAGTCACTTGCAGACTTTACAGACAGAGTCTTTCCAAACTGCTCTATGAAGAGAAAGGTGAAACTCTGTGAACTGAACGCACAGATGACAAAGCAGTTTCTGAGAATGATTCTGTGTAGTTTTTACACGAAGATATTTCCATTTCAAAGATTAGCCTCAAATCGCTTGAAATCTCCACTTGCAAATTCCACAGAAAGAATTTTTCAAAACTGCTCTGTCTAAAGGAAGGTTCAACTCTGTGACTTGAATACACACAACACAAAGAAGTGACTGAGAATTCTTCTGTCTAGCGTTATATGAAGAAATCCCGTTTCCAACGAAGGCCTCAATGAAGTCCAAAAAAGCACTTGCAGGCTTTACAAACAGAGTGTTTCCAAACTGCTCTATGAAAAGAAAGGTTAAACTCTGTGAGTTGAACGCACACATCACAAAGTAGTTGTTGAGAATGATTCTGTGTAGTTTTTCTACGAAGATATTTCCTTTTCTGCCATAGGCCTAGAATCGCTTGAAATCTGCACTTGCAAATTCCAAAAACAGAGTGTTTCAACTCTGTTCTCTCTAAAGAAAGGTTCAACTCTGTGAGTTGAATACACACAACACAAAGAAGTTACTGAGAATTCTTCTGTCTAGCGTTGTATGAAGAAATCCCGTTTCCAACGAAGGCCTCAATGAAGTCCAAAAAAGCACTTGCAGGCTTTACAAACAGAGTGTTTCCAAACTGCTCTCTGAAAAGAAAGGTTAACCTCTGTGAGTTGAACGCACACATCACAAAGTAGTTGTTGAGAATGATTCTGTGTAGTTTTTATACGAAGATATTTCCTTTTCTGCCATAGGCCTAGAAGCGCTTGAAATCTGCACTTGCAAATTCCAAAAACAGAGTGTTTCAAATCTGCTCTCTCTAAAGGAAGGTTCAAATCTGTGTGTTGAATACAAACAACACAAAGAAGTTACTGAGAATTCTTCTGTCTAGCATTATATGAGGAAATCCCGTTTCCAACGAAGGGCTCAAAGAGGGACAAATATCCACCTGCAGACTTACAAAGAGTGTATTTCCAAACTGCTCGATTAAAGAAAGGTTAAACTCTGTGAGTTGAACACACACATCACAAAGAGTTTTCTGAGAATGATTCTGTGTAGTTTTTATACGAAGATATTTCCTTTTCTGCCATAGGCCTAGAAGCGCTTGCAATCTGCACTTGCAAATTCCAAAAACAGAGTGTTTCAAATCTGCTCTCTCTAAAGGAAGTTTCAAATCTGTGAGTTGAATACAAACAACACAAAGAAGTTACTGAGAATACTTCTGTCTAGCATTATATGAGGAAATCCCGTTTCCAACGAAGGGCTCATAGAGGGACAATTATCCACCTGCAGACTTACAAAGAGTGCATTTCCAAACTGCTCGATTAAAGAAAGGTTAAACTCTGTGAGTTGAACACACACATCACAAAGTGTTTTCTGAGAATGATTTTGTCTAGTTTTAATACGAAGATATATCCTTTTCTATCACTGTCTTCGAAGCGTTTGAAATCTGCACTAGCAAATTCCACAAACAGAGTGTTTCAACTCTGCTCTCTCTCAAGAAAGGTTCAACTCTGTGAGTGGAATACACACAACACAAAGAAGTTACAGAGAATTCTTCTGTCTAGCGTTATATGAAGAAATCCCGTTTCCAACGAAGGCCTCAAAGAGGTCCAAATATCCACTTGCAGACTATACAAATAGAGTGTTTCCAAACTGCTCTATGAAAAGAAAGCTTAAACTCTGTGAGTTGAAGGCACACATCACAAACTAGTTTCTGCGAATGACTCTGTGTACTTTTAATACGAAGATGTTTCCATGTCTAAGATTGGCGTGAATTCGCTTGAAATCTCCACTTGCAAATTCCACAAAAAGAGTGTTTCAAAACTGCTCTGAATAAAGGAAGGTTCCACTCTGTGAGTTGAATACACACAACACGAAGGATTTACTGAGAATTCTTCTGTCTAGCAGTAAATGAGAAATCCCTGCTTCCAACGAAGGCCTCAAAGGGGTCTAACTAATCACTTGCAGACTTTACAGACAGAGTCTTTCCAAACTGCTCTATGAAGAGAAAGGTGAAACTCTGTGAACTGAACGCACAGATGACAAAGCAGTTTCTGAGAATGATTCTGTGTAGTTTTTACACGAAGATATTTCCATTTCAAAGATTAGCCTCAAATCGCTTGAAATCTCCACTTGCAAACTCCACAGAAAGAATTTTTCAAAACTGCTCTGTCTAAAGGAAGGTTCAACTCTGTGACTTGAATACACACAACACAAAGAAGTGACTGAGAATTCTTCTGTCTAGCATTATATGAAGAAATCCCGTTTCCAACGAAGGCCTCAATGAAGTCCAAAAAAGCACTTGCAGGCTTTACAAACAGAGTGTTTCCAAACTGCTCTATGAAAAGAAAGGTTAAACTCTGTGAGTTGAACGCACACATCACAAAGTAGTTGTTGAGAATGATTCTGTGTAGTTTTTATACGAAGATATTTCCTTTTCTGCCATAGGCCTAGAAGCGCTTGAAATCTGCACTTGCAAATTCCAAAAACAGAGTGTTTCAAATCTGCTCTCTCTAAAGGAAGGTTCAAATCTGTGTGTTGAATACAAACAACACAAAGAAGTTACTGAGAATTCTTCTGTCTAGCATTATATGAGGAAATCCCGTTTCCAACGAAGGGCTCAAAGAGGGCCAAATATCCACCTGCAGACTTACAAAGAGTGTATTTCCAAACTGCTCGATTAAAGAAAGGTTAAACTCTGTGAGTTGAACACACACATCACAAAGAGTTTTCTGAGAATGATTTTGTCTACTTTTAATATGAAGATATATCCTTTTCTATCACTGTCTTCGAAGCGTTTGAAATCTACACTAGCAAATTCCACAAAAAGAGTGTTTCACCTCTGCTCCCTCTAAAGAAAGGTTCAACTCTGTGAGTTGAATACACACAACACAAAGAAGTTACTGAGAATTCTTCTGTCTAGCGTTATATGAAGAAATCCCGTTTCCAACGAAGGCCTCAAAGAGGTCCAAATATCCACTTGCAGACTTTACAAATAGAGTGTTTCCCAACTGCTCTATGAAAAGAAAGGTTAAACTCTGTGAGTTGAAGGCACACATCACAAACTAGTTTCTACGAATGACTCTGTGTACTTTTAATATGAAGATATTTCCATGTCTCAGATTGGCGTCAAATCGCTTGAAATCTCCACTTGCAAATTCCACAAAAAGAGTGTTTCAAAACTGCTCTGAATAAAGGAAGGTTCCACTCTGTGAGTTGAATACACACAACACAAAGGATTTACTGAGAATTGTTCTGTCTAGCAGTAAATGAGAAATCCCGCTTCCAACGAAGGCCTCAAAGGGGTCTAACTAATCACTTGCAGACTTTACAGACAGAGTCTTTCCAAACTGCTCTATGAAGAGAAAGGTGAAACTCTGTGAACTGAACGCACAGATGACAAAGCAGTTTCTGAGAATGATTCTGTGTAGTTTTTACACGAAGATATTTCCATTTCAAAGATTAGCCTCAAATCGCTTGAAATCTCCACTTGCAAACTCCACAGAAAGAATTTTTCAAAACTGCTCTGTCTAAAGGAAGGTTCAACTCTGTGACTTGAATACACACAACACAAAGAAGTGACTGAGAATTCTTCTGTCTAGCATTATATGAAGAAATCCCGTTTCCAACGAAGGCCTCAATGAAGTCCAAAAAAGCACTTGCAGGCTTTACAAACAGAGTGTTTCCAAACTGCTCTATGAAAAGAAAGGTTAAACTCTGTGAGTTGAACGCACACATCACAAAGTAGTTGTTGAGAATGATTCTGTGTAGTTTTTATACGAAGATATTTCCTTTTCTGCCATAGGCCTAGAAGCGCTTGAAATCTGCACTTGCAAATTCCAAAAACAGAGTGTTTCAAATCTGCTCTCTCTAAAGGAAGGTTCAAATCTGTGTGTTGAATACAAACAACACAAAGAAGTTACTGAGAATTCTTCTGTCTAGCATTATATGAGGAAATCCCGTTTCCAACGAAGGGCTCAAAGAGGGCCAAATATCCACCTGCAGACTTACAAAGAGTGTATTTCCAAACTGCTCGATTAAAGAAAGGTTAAACTCTGTGAGTTGAACACACACATCACAAAGAGTTTTCTGAGAATGATTTTGTCTACTTTTAATACGAAGATATATCCTTTTCTATCACTGTCTTCGAAGCGTTTGAAATCTACACTAGCAAATTCCACAAAAAGAGTGTTTCACCTCTGCTCCCTCTAAAGAAAGGTTCAACTCTGTGAGTTGAATACACACAACACAAAGAAGTTACTGAGAATTCTTCTGTCTAGCGTTATATGAAGAAATCCCGTTTCCAACGAAGGCCTCAAAGAGGTCCAAATATCCACTTGCAGACTTTACAAATAGAGTGTTTCCCAACTGCTCTATGAAAAGAAAGGTTAAACTCTGTGAGTTGAAGGCACACATCACAAACTAGTTTCTACGAATGACTCTGTGTACTTTTAATATGAAGATATTTCCATGTCTAAGATTGGCGTCAAATCGCTTGAAATCTCCACTTGCAAATTCCACAAAAAGAGTGTTTCAAAACTGCTCTGAATAAAGGAAGGTTCCACTCTGTGAGTTGAATACACACAACACAAAGGATTTACTGAGAATTCTTCTGTCTAGCAGTAAATGAGAAATCCCACTTCCAACGAAGGCCTCAAAGGGTTCTAACTAATCACTTGCAGACTTTACAGACAGAGTCTTTCCAAACTGCTCTATGAAGAGAAAGGTGAAACTCTGTGAACTGAACGCACAGATGACAAAGCAGTTTCTGAGAATGATTCTGTGTAGTTTTTACACGAAGATATTTCCATTTCAAAGATTAGCCTCAAATCGCTTGAAATCTCCACTTGCAAACTCCACAGAAAGAATTTTTCAAAACTGCTCTGTCTAAAGGAAGGTTCAACTCTGTGACTTGAATACACACAACACAAAGAAGTGACTGAGAATTCTTCTGTCTAGCATTATATGAAGAAATCCCGTTTCCAACGAAGGCCTCAATGAAGTCCAAAAAAGCACTTGCAGGCTTTACAAACAGAGTGTTTCCAAACTGCTCTATGAAAAGAAAGGTTAAACTCTGTGAGTTGAACGCACACATCACAAAGTAGTTGTTGAGAATGATTCTGTGTAGTTTTTATACGAAGATATTTCCTTTTCTGCCATAGGCCTAGAAGCGCTTGAAATCTGCACTTGCAAATTCCAAAAACAGAGTGTTTCAAATCTGCTCTCTCTAAAGGAAGGTTCAAATCTGTGTGTTGAATACAAACAACACAAAGAAGTTACTGAGAATTCTTCTGTCTAGCATTATATGAGGAAATCCCGTTTCCAACGAAGGCCTCAAAGAGGTCCAAATATCCACTTGCAGACTTTACAAATAGAGTGTTTCCAAACTGCTCTATGAAAAGAAAGGTTAAACTCTGTGAGTTGAAGGCACACATCACAAACTAGTTTCTACGAATGACTCTGTGTACTTTTAATATGAAGATATTTCCATGTCTAAGATTGGCGTCAAATCGCTTGAAATCTCCACTTGCAAATTCCACGAAAAGTGTTTTTCAAAACTGCTCTGAATAAAGGAAGGTTCCACTCTGTGAGTTGAATACACACAACACAAAGGATTTACTGAGAATTCTTCTGTCTAGCAGTAAATGAGAAATCCCGCTTCCAACGAAGGCCTCAAAGGGGTCTAACTAATCACTTGCAGACTTTACAGACAGAGTCTTTCCAAACTGCTCTATGAAGAGAAAGGTGAAACTCTGTGAACTGAACGCACAGATGACAAAGCAGTTTCTGAGAATGATTCTGTGTAGTTTTTACACGAAGATATTTCCATTTCAAAGATTAGCCTCAAATCGCTTGAAATCTCCACTTGCAAATTCCACAGAAAGAATTTTTCAAAACTGCTCTGTCTAAAGGAAGGTTCAACTCTGTGACTTGAATACACACAACACAAAGTAGTGACTGAGAATTCTTCTGTCTAGCATTATATGAAGAAATCCCGTTTCCAACGAAGGCCTCAATGAAGTCCAAAAAAGCACTTGCAGGCTTTACAAACAGAGTGTTTCCAAACTGCTCTATGAAAAGAAAGGTTAAACTCTGTGAGTTGAACGCACACATCACAAAGTAGTTGTTGAGAATGATTCTGTGTAGTTTTTATACGAAGATATTTCCTTTTCTGCCATAGGCCTAGAAGCGCTTGAAATCTGCACTTGCAAATTCCAAAAACAGAGTGTTTCAAATCTGCTCTCTCTAAAGGAAGGTTCAAATCTGTGTGTTGAATACAAACAACACAAAGAAGTTACTGAGAATTCTTCTGTCTAGCATTATATGAGGAAATCCCGTTTCCAACGAAGGGCTCAAAGAGGGCCAAATATCCACCTGCAGACTTACAAAGAGTGTATTTCCAAACTGCTCGATTAAAGAAAGGTTAAAATCTGTGAGTTGAACACACACATCACAAAGAGTTTTCTGAGAATGATTTTGTCTACTTTTAATACGAAGATATATCCTTTTCTATCACTGTCTTCGAAGCGTTTGAAATCTACACTAGCAAATTCCACAAAAAGAGTGTTTCACCTCTGCTCCCTCTAAAGAAAGGTTCAACTCTGTGAGTTGAATACACACAACACAAAGAAGTTACTGAGAATTCTTCTGTCTAGCGTTATATGAAGAAATCCCGTTTCCAACGAAGGCCTCAAAGAGGTCCAAATATCCACTTGCAGACTTTACAAATAGAGTGTTTCCCAACTGCTCTATGAAAAGAAAGGTTAAACTCTGTGAGTTGAAGGCACACATCACAAACTAGTTTCTACGAATGACTCTGTGTACTTTTAATATGAAGACATTTCCATGTCTAAGATTGGCATCAAATCGCTTGAAATCTCCACTTGCAAATTCCACAAAAAGTGTTTTTCAAAACTGCTCTGAATAAAGGAAGGTTCCACTCTGTGAGTTGAATACACACAACACAAAGGATTTACTGAGAATTCTTCTGTCTAGCAGTAAATGAGAAATCCCGCTTCCAACGAAGGCCTCAAAGGGGTCTAACTAATCACTTGCAGACTTTACAGACAGAGTCTTTCCAAACTGCTCTATGAAGAGAAAGGTGAAACTCTGTGAACTGAACGCACAGATGACAAAGCAGTTTCTGAGAATGATTCTGTGTAGTTTTTACACGAAGATATTTCCATTTCAAAGATTAGCCTCAAATCGCTTGAAATCTCCACTTGCAAACTCCACAGAAAGAATTTTTCAAAACTGCTCTGTCTAAAGGAAGGTTCAACTCTGTGACTTGAATACACACAACACAAAGAAGTGACTGAGAATTCTTCTGTCTAGCATTATATGAGGAAATCCCGTTTCCAACGAAGGGCTCATAGAGGGACAATTATCCACCTGCAGACTTACAAAGAGTGCATTTCCAAACTGCTCGATTAAAGAAAGGTTAAACTCTGTGAGTTGAACACACACATCACAAAGTGTTTTCTGAGAATGATTTTGTCTAGTTTTAATACGAAGATATATCCTTTTCTATCACTGTCTTCGAAGCGTTTGAAATCTGCACTAGCAAATTCCACAGAAAGAGTGTTTCAACTCTGCTCTCTCTCAAGAAAGGTTCAACTCTGTGAGTGGAATACACACAACACAAAGAAGTTACAGAGAATTCTTCTGTCTAGCGTTATATGAAGAAATCCCGTTTCCAACGAAGGCCTCAAAGAGGTCCAAATATCCACTTGCAGACTATACAAATAGAGTGTTTCCAAACTGCTCTATGAAAAGAAAGCTTAAACTCTGTGAGTTGAAGGCACACATCACAAACTAGTTTCTGCGAATGACTCTGTGTACTTTTAATACGAAGATGTTTCCATGTCTAAGATTGGCGTGAATTCGCTTGAAATCTCCACTTGCAAATTCCACAAAAAGAGTGTTTCAAAACTGCTCTGAATAAAGGAAGGTTCCACTCTGTGAGTTGAATACACACAACACGAAGGATTTACTGAGAATTCTTCTGTCTAGCAGTAAATGAAAAAATCCCGCTTCCAACGAAGTCCTCAAAGGGGTCCAAGTAATCACTTGCAGACTTTACAGACAGAGTCTTTCCAAACTGCTCTATGAAAAGAAAGGTGGAACTCTGTGAGCTGAACGCACACATAACAAAGCAGTTTCTGAGAATGATTCTGTGTAGTTTTTACACGAAGATATTTCCATTTCAAAGATTAGCCTCAAATCGCTTGAAATCTCCACTTGCAAATTCCACAGAAAGAGTTTTTCAAAACTGCTCTGTGTAAAGGAAGGTTCAACTCTGTGACTTGAATACACACAACACAAAGAAGTGACTGAGAATTCTTCTGTCTAGCATTATATGAAGAAATCCCGTTTCCAACGAAGGCCTCAAAGAAGTCCAAATAAGCACCTGCAGACTTTACAAACAGAGTGTTTCCAAACTGCTCTATGAAAAGAAAGGTTAAACTCTGTGAGTTGAACGCACACATCACAAAGTAGTTGTTGAGAATGATTCTGTGTAGTTTTTATACGAAGATATTTCCTTTTCTGCCATAGGCCTAGAATCGCTTGAAATCTGCAGTTGCAAATTCCAAAAACAGAGTGTTTCAACTCTGCTCTCTCTAAAGAAAGTTTCAACTCTGTGAGTTGAATACACACAACACAAAGAAGTTACTGAGAATTCTTCTGTCTAGCGTTGTATGAAGAAATCCCGTTTCCAACGAAGGCCTCAAAGAGGTCCAAATATCCACTTGCAGACTTTACAAACAGAGTGTTTCCAAACTGCTCTATGAAAGGAAAGGTTAAACTCTGTGAGTTGAAGGCACACATCACAAACTAGTTTCCACGAATGACTCTGTGTACTTTTAATATGAAGATATTTCCATGTCTAAGATTGGCGTCAAATCGCTTGAAATCTCCACTTGCAAATTCCACAAAAAGTGTTTTTCAAAACTGCTCTGAATAAAGGAAGGTTCCACTCTGTGAGTTGAATACACACAACACAAAGGATTTACTGAGAATTCTTCTGTCTAGCAGTAAATGAGAAATCCCGCTTCCAACGAAGGCCTCAAAGGGGTCTAACTAATCACTTGCAGACTTTACAGACAGAGTCTTTCCAAACTGCTCTATGAAGAGAAAGGTGAAACTCTGTGAACTGAACGCACAGATGACAAAGCAGTTTCTGAGAATGATTCTGTGTAGTTTTTACACGAAGATATTTCCATTTCAAAGATTAGCCTCAAATCGCTTGAAATCTCCACTTGCAAACTCCACAGAAAGAATTTTTCAAAACTGCTCTGTCTAAAGGAAGGTTCAACTCTGTGACTTGAATACACACAACACAAAGAAGTGACTGAGAATTCTTCCGTCTAGCATTATATGAAGAAATCCCGTTTCCAACGAAGGCCTCAATGAAGTCCAAAAAAGCACTTGCACGCGTTACAAACAGAGTGTTTCCAAACTGCTCTATGAAAAGAAAGGTTAAACTCTGTGAGTTGAACGCACACATCACAAAGTAGTTGTTGAGAATGATTCTGTGTAGTTTTTATACGAAGATATTTCCTTTTCTGCCATAGGCCTAGAAGCGTTTGAAATCTGCACTTGCTAATTCCAAAAACAGAGTGTTTCAAATCTGCCCTCTCTAAAGGAAGGTTCAAATCTGTGAGTTGAATACAAACAACACAAAGAATTTACTGAGAATTCTTCTGTCTAGCATTATAAGAGGAAATCCCGTTTCCAACGAAGGGCTCATAGAGGGACAATTATCCAGCTGCAGACTTACAAAGAGTGTATTTCCAAACTGCTCGATTAAAGAAAGGTTAAACTCTGTGAGTTGAACACACACATCACAAAGTGTTTTCTGAGAATGATTTTGTCTAGTTTTAATACGAAGATATATCCTTTTCTATCACTGTCTTCGAAGCGTTTGAAATCTGCACTAGCAAATTCCACAAACAGAGTGTTTCAACTCTGCTCTCTCTCAAGAAAGGTTCAACTCTGTGAGTTGAATACACACAACACAAAGAAGTTACTGAGAATTCTTCTGTCTAGCGTTACATGAAGAAATCCCGTTTCCAACGAAGGCCTCAAAGAGGTCCAAATATCCACTTGCAGACTTTACAAATAGAGTGTTTCCAAACTGCTCTATGAAAAGAAAGGTTAAACTCTGTGAGTTGAAGGCACACATCACAAACTAGTTTCTGCGAATGACTCTGTGTACTTTTAATACGAAGATGTTTCCATGTCTAAGATTGGCGTGAATTCGCTTGAAATCTCCACTTGCAAATTCCACAAAAAGAGTGTTTCAAAACTGCTCTGAATAAAGGAAGGTTCCACTCTGTGAGTTGAATACACACAACACAAAGGATTTACTGAGAATTCTTCTGTCTAGCAGTAAATGAAAAAATCCCGCTTCCAACGAAGTCCTCAAAGGGGTCCAAGTAATCACTTGCAGACTTTACAGACAGAGTCTTTCCAAACTGCTCTATGAAAAGAAAGGTGGAACTCTGTGAGCTGAACGCACACATAACAAAGCAGTTTCTGAGAATGATTCTGTGTAGTTTTTACACGAAGATATTTCCATTTCAAAGATTAGCCTCAAATCGCTTGAAATCTCCACTTGCAAATTCCACAGAAAGAGTTTTTCAAAACTGCTCTGTGTAAAGGAAGGTTCAACTCTGTGACTTGAATACACACAACACAAAGAAGTGACTGAGAATTCTTCTGTTTAGCATTATATGAAGAAATCCCGTTTCCAACGAAGGCCTCAAAGAAGTCCAAATAAGCACCTGCAGACTTTACAAACAGAGTGTTTCCAAACTGCTCTATGAAAAGAAAGGTTAAACTCTGTGAGTTGAACGCACACATCACAAAGTAGTTGTTGAGAATGATTCTGTGTAGTTTTTATACGAAGATATTTCCTTTTCTGCCATAGGCCTAGAAGCGCTTGTAATCTGCACTTGCAAATTCGAAAACAGAGTGTTTCAAATCTGCTCTCTCTAAAGGAAGGTTCAAATCTGTGAGTTGAATACAAACAACACAAAGAAGTTACTGTGAATTCTTCTGTCTAGCATTATAAGAGGAAATCCCGTTTCCAACGAAGGGCTCATAGAGGGACAATTATCCAGCTGCAGACTTACAAAGAGTGTATTTCCAAACTGCTCGATTAAAGAAAGGTTAAACTCTGTGAGTTGAACACACACATCACAAAGTGTTTTCTGAGAATGATTTTGTCTAGTTTTAATACGAAGATATATCCTTTTCTATCACTGTCTTCGAAGCGTTTGAAATCTGCACTAGCAAATTCCACAAACAGAGTGTTTCAACTCTGCTCTCTCTCAAGAAAGGTTCAACTCTGTGAGTTGAATACACACAACACAAAGAAGTTACTGAGAATTCTTCTGTCTAGCGTTATATGAAGAAATCCCGTTTCCAACGAAGGCCTCAAAGTAGGTCCAAATATCCACTTGCAGACTTTACAAATAGAGTGTTTCCAAACTGCTCTATGAAAAGAAAGGTTAAACTCCGTGAGTTGAAGGCACACATCACAAACTAGTTTCTGCGAATGACTCTGTGTACTTTTAATACGAAGATGTTTCCATGTCTAAGATTGGCGTGAATTCGCTTGAAATCTCCACTTGCAAATTCCACAAAAAGAGTGTTTCAAAACTGCTCTGAATAAAGGAAGGTTCCACTCTGTGAGTTGAGTACACACAACACAAAGGATTTACTGAGAATTCTTCTGTCTGGCAGTAAATGAAAAAATCCCGCTTCCAACGAAGTCCTCAAAGGGGTCCAAGTAATCACTTGCAGACTTTACAGACAGAGTCTTTCCAAACTGCTCTATGAAAACAAAGGTGGAACTCTGTGAGCTGAACGCACACATAACAAAGCAGTTTCTGACAATGATTCTGTGTAGTTTTTACACGAAGATATTTCCATTTCAAAGATTAGCCTCAAATCGCTTGAAATCTCCACTTGCAAATTCCACAGAAAGAGTTTTTCAAAACTGCTCTGTGTAAAGGAAGGTTCAACTCTGTGACTTGAATACACACAACACAAAGAAGTGACTGAGAATTCTTCTGTCTAGCATTATATGAAGAAATCCCGTTTCCAACGAAGGCCTCAAAGAATTCCAAATAAGCACCTGCAGACTTTACAAACAGAGTGTTTCCAAACTGCTCTATGAAAAGAAAGGTTAAACTCTGTGAGTTGAACGCACACATCACAAAGTAGTTGTTGAGAATGATTCTGTGTAGTTTTTATACGATGATATTTCCTTTTCTGCCATAGGCCTAGAAGCGCTTGCAATCTGCACTTGCAAATTCCAAAACCAGCGTGTTTCAAATCTGCTCCCTCTAAAGGAAGTTTCAAATCTGTGAGTTGAATACAAACAACACAAAGAAGTTACTGAGAATACTTCTGTCTAGCATTATATGAGGAAATCCCGTTTCCAACGAAGGGCTCATAGAGGGACAATTATCCACCTGCAGACTTACAAAGAGTGCATTTCCAAACTGCTCGATTAAAGAAAGGTTAAACTCTGTGAGTTGAACACACACATCACAAAGTGTTTTCTGAGAATGATTTTGTCTAGTTTTAATACGAAGATATATCCTTTTCTATCACTGTCTTCGAAGCGTTTGAAATCTGCACTAGCAAATTCCACAGAAAGAGTGTTTCAACTCTGCTCTCTCTCAAGAAAGGTTCAACTCTGTGAGTGGAATACACACAACACAAAGAAGTTACAGAGAATTCTTCTGTCTAGCGTTATATGAAGAAATCCCGTTTCCAACGAAGGCCTCAAAGAGGTCCAAATATCCACTTGCAGACTTTACAAATAGAGTGTTTCCAAACTGCTCTATGAAAAGAAAGCTTAAACTCTGTGAGTTGAAGGCACACATCACAAACTAGTTTCTGCGAATGACTCTGTGTACTTTTAATACGAAGATGTTTCCATGTCTAAGATTGGCGTGAATTCGCTTGAAATCTCCACTTGCAAATTCCACCAAAAGAGTGTTTCAAAACTGCTCTGAATAAAGGAAGGTTCCACTCTGTGAGTTGAATACACACAACACAAAGGGATTTACTGAGAATTCTTCTGTCTAGCAGTAAATGAAAAAATCCCGCTTCCAACGAAGTCCTCAAAGGGGTCCAAGTAATCACTTGCAGACTTTACAGACAGAGTCTTTCCAAACTGCTCTATGAAAAGAAAGGTGGAACTCTGTGAGCTGAACGCACACATAACAAAGCAGTTTCTGAGAATCATTCTGTGTGGTTTTTACACGAAGCTATTTCCATTTCAAAGATTAGCCTCAAATCGCTTGAAATCTCCACTTGCAAATTCCACAGAAAGAGTTTTTCAAAACTGCTCTGTGTAAAGGAAGGTTCAACTCTGTGACTTGAATACACACAACACAAAGAAGTGACTGAGAATTCTTCTGTCTAGCATTACATGAAGAAATCCCGTTTCCAACGAAGGCCTCAAAGAAGTCCAAATAAGCACCTGCAGACTTTACAAACAGAGTGTTTCCAAACTGCTCTATGAAAAGAAAGGTTAAACTCTGTGAGTTGAACGCACACATCACAAAGTAGTTGTTGAGAATGATTCTGTGTAGTTTTTATACGAAGATATTTCCTTTTCTGCCATAGGCCTAAAAGCGCTTGAAATCTGCACTTGCAAATTCCAAAAACAGAGTGTTTCAAATCTGCTCTCTCTAAAGGAAGGTTCAAATCTGTGTGTTGAATACAAACAACACAAAGAAGTTACTGAGAATTCTTCTGTCTAGCATTATATGAGGAAATCCCGTTTCCAACGAAGGGCTCAAAGAGGGCCAAATATCCACCTGCAGACTTACAAAGAGTGTATTTCCAAACTGCTCGATTAAAGAAAGGTTAAACTCTGTGAGTTGAACACACACATCACAAAGAGTTTTCTGAGAATGATTTTGTCTACTTTTAATACGAAGATATATCCTTTTCTATCACTGTCTTCGAAGCGTTTGAAATCTACACTAGCAAATTCCACAAAAAGAGTGTTTCACCTCTGCTCCCTCTAAAGAAAGGTTCAACTCTGTGAGTTGAATACACACAACACAAAGAAGTTACTGAGAATTCTTCTGTCTAGCGTTATATGAAGAAATCCCGTTTCCAACGAAGGCCTCAAAGAGGTCCAAATATCCACTTGCAGACTTTACAAATAGAGTGTTTCCCAACTGCTCTATGAAAAGAAAGGTTAAACTCTGTGAGTTGAAGGCACACATCACAAACTAGTTTCTACGAAGACTTCTGTGTACTTTTAATATGAAGATATTTCCATGTCTAAGATTGGCGTCAAATCGCTTGAAATCTCCACTTGCAAATTGCACAAAAAGAGTGTTTCAAAACTGCTCTGAATAAAGGAAGGTTCCACTCTGTGAGTTGAATACACACAACACAAAGGATTTACTGAGAATTCTTCTGTCTAGCAGTAAATGAGAAATCCCGCTTCCAACGAAGGCCTCAAAGGGGTCTAACTAATCACTTGCAGACTTTACAGACAGAGTCTTTCCAAACTGCTCTATGAAGAGAAAGGTGAAACTCTGTGAACTGAACGCACAGATGACAAAGCAGTTTCTGAGAATGATTCTGTGTAGTTTTTACACGAAGATATTTCCATTTCAAAGATTAGCCTCAAATCGCTTGAAATCTCCACTTGCAAACTCCACAGAAAGAATTTTTCAAAACTGCTCTGTCTAAAGGAAGGTTCAACTCTGTGACTTGAATACACACAACACAAAGAAGTGACTGAGAATTCTTCTGTCTAGCATTATATGAGGAAATCCCGTTTCCAACGAAGGGCTCAAAGAGGGCCAAATATCCACCTGCAGACTTACAAAGAGTGTATTTCCAAACTGCTCGATTAAAGAAAGGTTAAATTCTGTGAGTTGAACACACACATCACAAAGAGTTTTCTGAGAATGATTTTGTCTACTTTTAATACGAAGATATATCCTTTTCTATCACTGTCTTCGAAGCGTTTGAAATCTACACTAGCAAATTCCACAAAAAGAGTGTTTCACCTCTGCTCCCTCTAAAGAAAGGTTCAACTCTGTGAGTTGAATACACACAACACAAAGAAGTTACTGAGAATTCTTCTGTCTAGCGTTATATGAAGAAATCCCGTTTCCAACGAAGGCCTCAAAGAGGTCCAAATATCCACTTGCAGACTTTACAAATAGAGTGTTTCCCAACTGCTCTATGAAAAGAAAGGTTAAACTCTGTGAGTTGAAGGCACACATCACAAACTAGTTTCTACGAATGACTCTGTGTACTTTTAATATGAAGATATTTCCATGTCTAAGATTGGCGTCAAATCGCTTGAAATCTCCACTTGCAAATTCCACAAAAAGAGTGTTTCAAAACTGCTCTGAATAAAGGAAGGTTCCACTCTGTGAGTTGAATACACACAACACAAAGGATTTACTGAGAATTCTTCTGTCTAGCAGTAAATGAGAAATCCCGCTTCCAACGAAGGCCTCAAAGGGGTCTAACTAATCACTTGCAGACTTTACAGACAGAGTCTTGCCAAACTGCTCTATGAAGAGAAAGGTGAAACTCTGTGAACTGAACGCACAGATGACAAAGCAGTTTCTGAGAATGATTCTGTGTAGTTTTTACACGAAGATATTTCCATTTCAAAGATTAGCCTCAAATCGCTTGAAATCTCCACTTGCAAATTACACAGAAAGAATTTTTCAAAACTGCTCTGTCTAAAGGAAGGTTCAACTCTGTGACTTGAATACACACAACACAAAGAAGTGACTGAGAATTCTTCTGTCTAGCATTATATGAGAAATCCCGTTTCCAACGAAGGCCTCAAAGAAGTCCAAATAAGCACCTGCAGACTTTACAAACAGAGTGTTTCCAAACTGCTCTATGAAAAGAAAGGTTAAACTCTGTGAGGTGAATGCACACATCACAAAGTAGTTGTTGAGAATGATTCTGTGTAGTTTTTATACGAAGATATTTAATTTTCTGCCATAGGCCTAGAAGCGCTTGAAATCTGCACTTGCAAATTCCAAAAACAGAGTGTTTCAAATCTGCTCTCTCCAAAGGAAGGTTCAAATCTGTGAGTTGAATACAAACAACACAAAGAAGTTACTGAGAATTCTTCTGTCTAGCATTATAAGAGGAAATCCCGTTTCCAACGAAGGGCTCATAGAGGGACAATTATCCAGCTGCAGACTTACAAAGAGTGTATTTCCAAACTGCTCGATTAAAGAAAGGTTAAACTCTGTGAGTTGAACACACACATCACAAAGTGTTTTCTGAGAATGATTTTGTCTAGTTTTAATACGAAGATATATCCTTTTCTATCACTGTCTTCGAAGCGTTTGAAATCGGCACTAGCAAATTCCACAAACAGAGTGTTTCAACTCTGCTCTCTCTCAAGAAAGGTTCAACTCTGTGAGTGGAATACACACAACACAAAGAAGTTACTGAGAATTCTTCTGTCTAGCGTTATATGAAGAAATCCCGTTTCCAACGAAGGCCTCAAAGACGTCCAAATATCCACTTGCAGACTTTACAAATAGAGTGTTTCCAAACTGCTCTATGAAAAGAAAGGTTAAACTCCGTGAGTTGAACGCACACATCACAAACTAGTTTCTGCGAATGACTCTGTGTACTTTTAATACGAAGATGTTTCCATGTCTAAGATTGGCGTGAATTCGCTTGAAATCTCCACTTGCAAATTCCACAAAAAGAGTGTTTCAAAACTGCTCTGAATAAAGGAAGGTTCCACTCTGTGAGTTGAATACACACAACACAAAGGATTTACTGAGAATTCTTCTGTCTAGCAGTAAATGAAAAAATCCCGCTTCCAACGAAGTCCTCAAAGGGGTCCAAGTAATCACTTGCAGACTTTACAGACAGAGTCTTTCCAAACTGCTCTATGAAAAGAAAGGTGGAACTCTGTGAGCTGAACGCACACATAACAAAGCAGTTTCTGAGAATGATTCTGTGTAGTTTTTACACGAAGATATTTCCATTTCAAAGATTAGCCTCAAATCGCTTGAAATCTCCACTTGCAAATTCCACAGAAAGAGTTTTTCAAAACTGCTCTGTGTAAAGGAAGGTTCAACTCTGTGACTTGAATAAACACAACACAAAGAAGTGACTGAGAATTCTTCTGTCTAGCATTATATGAAGAAATCCCGTTTCCAACGAAGGCCTCAAAGAAGTCCAAATAAGCACCTGCAGACTTTACAAACAGAGTGTTTCCAAACTGCTCTATGAAAAGAAAGGTTAAACTCTGTGAGTTGAATGCACACATCACAAAGTAGTTGTAGAGAATGATTCTGTGTAGTTTTTACACGAAGATATTTCCTTTTCTGCCATAGGCCTAGAAGCGCTTGTAATCTGCACTTACAATTTCCAAAAGCAGAGTGTTTCAAATCTGCTCTCTCTAAAGGAAAGTTCAAATCTGTGAGTTGAATACAAACAACAGAAAGAAGTTACTGAGAATTCTTCTGTCTAGCATTATATGAGGAAATCCCGTTTCCAACGAAGGGCTCATAGAGGGACAATTATCCACCTGCAGACTTACAAAGAGTGTATTTCCAAACTGCTCGATTACAGAAAGGTTAAACTCTGTGAGTTGAACACACACATCACAAAGTGTTTTCTGAGAATGATTTTGTCTAGTTTTAATACGAAGATATATCCTTTTCTATCACTGTCTTCGAAGCGTTTGAAATCTGCACTAGCAAATTCCACAAAAAGAGTGTTTCAACTCTGCTCTCTCTCAAGAAAGGTTCAACTCTGTGAGTTGAATACACACAACACAAAGAAGTTACTGAGAATTCTTCTGTCTAGCGTTATATGAAGAAATCCCGTTTCCAACGAAGGCCTCAAAGAGGTCCAAATATCCACTTGCAGACTTTACAAATAGAGTGTTTCCAAACTGCTCTATGAAAAGAAAGGTTAAACTCTGTGAGTTGAAGGCACACATCACAAACTAGTTTCTGCGAATGACGAAGAATTCTCAGTAAATCCTTTGTGTTGTGTGTATTCAACTCACAGATCCCAGCTACTCGGGAGGCTGAGCCAGGAGAATCGCTTGAACCCAGGAGGTGGAGGTTGCAGTAAGCAGATGATGCTGAACTCCTGCCTGGGCAGCAGAGTAGACTCCATCTCAA